>NC_000004.12:134981987-135285017 GCF_000001405.40 Homo sapiens
AACGAATGTTTGAAATGGCAACTTTAATTGTATAAAAATATTAGCCAAATTCTAATGGCTAAATTTGAGTACATTCACTAAATTGGACAGAACTAGGTAAGTGTATTCTGTGTTACTTTTATATCAGGAAAAATGGCATTTGTTTTATATTACAGATAAAACAGTATCTTAATGATATTTATACATAAATATCGGCCAGTGTATTTGTTTATATTAGTAAAAAAGTTTGTACTTATGACCTTTGAATGTCGGTATGTTTCAATTTTTAAAATTTGTCTGCTTTGAGATAATCAAATTGTTTTATTTAGAAAATTAATTCTTTCAAGATTCACTAGCTAACAATATTTACTATAATTGTTGAAGTGCAGGGTATACTACTAGCATTCCAATAGTTATACATTAATATTATAGTATACTATTCCATAAATATTAAAGGCCATTATTATCCTGAACTAAAATCAGTCCTATGCTTTATGTACATTTCTACTTGATATTAATCTAAATATCAACTTTGAAATGTATATTAATTTTTTCAAATAATACTTGTTTTAAATATAATTTAAATAATAGTTTAAAATAATTAAATTATTTTAAATAATTTTAAGTTAGTTTAAAATAATGATACTTATTTTAAACTAATAATTTTAACAAATCATTAGTTTCAAAGTCAAACAGGTTCATGAATATGAATGGCAATTGGTTTCTAACTCCAGTTCTCTTAGCAGCCATACCATACTTGTATCCTGATTTTCTAGCCCACTTCATAATCCCTTTCTTCTCAGTCTCATTAGATGACTTGAAATATAACTTATTTGTAGAGAATACAGAAATCATTAGGTCTATAGACCTTCAAAGTCTGTTTTTTTTTTCACCCAACATATAAAAATTAATGCTTTACCCTAAGGAAAAAACTCCAAAATTTCTAGAAATCATACGTCTTCAATACATTTCAATTAACATTACAGATCAGCTACTCAAATTGATACCTATCACAAACACCTAAAAACTGTGTATATGGAATAACAAATATCATCTTATATGCTTTCATGGAAATAAAGAGACCCCTGGACCTTGAACAAAAAAGGGACTGCTATAAAAGCTAGCATTAAAACTTTTTTTAAAGAGTGCTTTCAGACTAAAATGATGCAGAGGTATGGATTCTAATGAGAACATCAGGGACAGATGATGCCTCTGGTCAAAATAAATTGAATAACTAGAACTGAGATTTACATATAAAGCCAGGATATCAAATGCCTACACACTCCAGCAATGAGATGGCTAGAAGAAATCTTTTCATCAGCAAAATAGAAAGAAAAAGAATCACTGTCTTTATTTGGGCTTTAGGGAGAAAAATCAAAGCCTCCTCTTAAATATGAATTTTGATCATTCAAAATCCATGTTTTGTTCTCTGCTAGGTTTTGGTTTCAACTGATCCAGAAAAGGCAAAGTTAAGAAAAAGGTTTAATTGGTCTCGGGTTGATAGAGAATCAGGACAGCTATGAGAAGCAAAATGTGATCTCCTTAGTGGAGCATTTTCTCAAATCAGGCCTGGCAGCAAGAGCATCACATAGACCTCAAGTGAACATGAACATACTATAAAGCACCATAGCACATAGGTCCCCAGGACCAAGAGTCAGTGGAAACAATAAGTAGCAGAATTCAATCTCTAAGGACTTTTCTTATATACTATAATTGTCAAAGGCTGAACATAAAATTAAGTGTGACTAAAACTGGTACAAAATTTTCAAAGGGAGATTTGAAACTTGACCAAATAAAATGATACTATAAAAATGACAAGATTGATTTTTAAAAAGAGAGAACAAAACTCAAAAATATTATGATTAAAATTAAACCTACATAAATTGATTACCAATAGATTATGCATGGTTTATGAGGGAATTAAAAGACAAATGAAGAAATTAGAGAGGACAAACTCAAAAAGGCAAAGAGATAGAAAATATTAATATTTCTGAATCATTAACGAAGAGGATGAGGATGATTATTTCTGTCCTAAATATTCCCAAAATTGTAAAAGAGAATAGATTAAGGAAAGGGACACTCATAAAATAAAAGCTTAAGCTGGTTCATAATTTATTAGAGATAATAATCTCAAATATAGTAAAGTACAAGAAAATCTATTAAGTGTAATTAAAAACTAGACACACCATAATGAAACTTTAGATCATCAATGACAGTAGCAGGACTTCAAGAACATCCAGAGGGAACAGATTCTAATGGACAAATCTTAATTTAAATGACAGCAAACTTATCAAGAGCAAAAATGAAATAGAAAACAACAAATTAA
This sequence comes from Homo sapiens, assembly GCF_000001405.40. Lineage (NCBI taxonomy): Eukaryota > Metazoa > Chordata > Mammalia > Primates > Hominidae > Homo > Homo sapiens. Next base: position 134,984,293 of record NC_000004.12, read on the forward strand.
TAGCTTCAGCATTCTGATAGACAACAGATATTAATGTAGAATACTGTACTATGGTTAACCATTCTTTAAGAACAAGTTGAAAAGGCATTGTTCTTTAAAATAATGAGACAGGTTTCTACTAAAATATCTTAAATAAATTAGTAAGAAGTGCTCAATAATTTATTTCCAGGAGAAGAAAACTAAGATTCAAAAAAGACTCAAAAAAGACTAAAAAATAAATTAATAAGCATTTTGGTAAATATGAGTGAAAGTTGACATAAGTTAGTGATTATAAAAATGACAACTTTGGGGATTTAAGTTTAAATATAAAAATATGATATAGGAAAATGGAGGTAATTGGAATTAAAATTCTAAATTCATATAGTTCAGATAAAAAAGAAATTTATTTCTTTTCACCTCCTCAGTAGATCAGGTAATGTTATGACCTGAATTGTACCCTGCCCAAAATGTATATGCTGAAGCCCTAGCCCCCAGTACCTTAGAATGTGACTGTTTCAGGAAATATTGCTTTAAAGAGAAAATTAAGGTTAAGTGAAGTCATAAAATTTGGGCTCCTAATCCAACACGACTGGTGTCCTTATAAGAAGAGAAAGAAACACCAGGGATGTGGATGTGAGCTGATATGAGAATACAGCCAGAAAGCAGCCTCAGAAGAAACCTACCCTGCTGTCATCTTGGTCTTGGCCTTCCAGCCTCCTAGAGTATGAAAATGTAATTTTCTGTCATTTAAGTCACCCAGTCTGTGGTATTTTGTAATGGCAGTCCTAGAAAACTAACACAAGTAGCTTGTAAAATAAAGCATAAAATTAAAGGATTTACATTCCAAAAATGTTTAAAAAAGATAAAGAAAAAAAATCAATCCAAAGAAAGGAGAAATAAAGAAGAATACATACAAAGACCAAAAAGACATGATACAAAGACTTAAAACTATATTGTTCACTCCATCCAGAAGATCTAAATTATATAGTTAAATGACAGCTATATGTCATTTACAGGCAGCATAGCTAACACACAAATACACTGAAATGTCAATAATAAAGTATCAGTAACCTGTGTCACACAAAGAATCTTATCACATATCAAGTTAAAAATTTAGATATGAAAGTCAAGATAATTGAAGCTTTCACCCATTTAAAAATTTAAATCACACTTATAAATAATTCATTACTCAGAAAAATAACAATGAAACTTTAAATACATCCTTAGATTTTAATGTAACACACAAAAAAACACATATAAAGTTTTGTTAAGCCAATACACTGATTGATCTTTGAAATAATTTTATAGTCTTCAATAACTATACTAGAAAATAAAAAATAAAAAATGAGATAAATACATAACTTACAATTTTAAAAATTAACAATAAAAAAACAAAGAAAGATAAAGGGATTAAGACAAAGTCGGGCATTAATACAAGGAAAATATATGTATGCTTGAGACGATCAACAAAGCCTAGAACTGCTCTCTAATTGGAGAAAGATAAATTTAGCAAAACTGATTAAAAAAAGAAAATCTGCCTATTTTATAACAATTAAAAAACATACATCAATAATATGTATTTATGCCAAAACTATCTGATAATATTGAGGAGGTAGTTATATCTAGCATACCTAGAGTACAGAGAAAACAACATTAGACATTTAAACTCTATGTTTTAAAGCTATTAGGTGATTTTGGTTACTGGTTCTCTGTTGAAAAATGTGTGTAAATGTGTGTGTATGTGTGTGTGCTCATATACATGGGAGTGTGTAGGTGTGCTTGTTTAAACATTGACAGCTTAACCAGATGAAGGAAGATTTATGCCATTTTGAATACCTTGGTGGAATTCAAGTATTTATTCATTGGGCAGTTTTATTTATAAGAATTTATTTATTGACCTATTTATTTATTTATAGAAATAAAAACAATGCCTGAAATTGTTGATTATCATTACTGTTCATTTTGAAATATTAATTTTAAAACAATTTTCAATACTCTGTATTGTGCAGTTGAGCTAATGACTGCTGACAAATTTTCCCAAATAGGTTGTTGTTTAATTTTCTGAGCTTTATTCAATTTATGTGTTTATCATAAATTAGTTTGCTACATTAGTCTGCACATAAAGACACACAAGTTTACTGGTTAGAAGACAGGGAATGGAAATTTGATTTGATTATATTTTTACATAGAAATATTTCAGCACTTTTCATAAGACATTTTGAAGTGACACACTTCTGTGATGGTTAATACTGGGTGTCAACTTGATTGGAATGAAGGATACAAAGTATTGTTCCTGGATGTGTACTGTGTCTGTGAGGGTGTTGCCAAAGAAGATTAACATTTGAGTCAGTTGACTGGGAAATGCAGACCCACCCTCAATCTTGGTGGTACAGTCTAATCAGCTGCCAGCATGGCCAGAATAAAAGCAGGCAGAAGAATATGGAGAGAATAGACTGGCTTACCCTCCCAGCCAACTGCTTTCTCCTGTGCTGGATGCTTCCTGCCCTCAAACATCAAACTCCAAGTTCTTCAGCTTTGGGACTTGGGCTGGCTTCCTTGCTTTTCAGCTTGTAGATGTGTTATTGCAGCACCTTGTGATCATGTGAGTTAATACTTCTTAATAAACTCTCCTTCATATATACATCTATCCTATTAGCTCTGTCCCTCTAAAGAACCCTGACTAATACAGAATTTGGTACCAGAGTGGGATGGTTCTAGAGGAACAGAATATTAAGGATGAAGTTTTTTCACTGGTTTTGGGATTTCTGGAGTTGGCTGCTTAATACGATTAGACCCAAAAATGTTATGTCTGTGTCTCCACCCAAATCTCATCTCGAATTCCCACATGTTGTCAGGGGGGACCCAGTGATAGGTAATTGAATTATAGGGGCAGATCTTTCCCATGCTGTTCTTGTGATAGTGAATAAGCCTCATGAGATTTGATGGTTTTATAAGGCGGAGTTTCCCTGCACAAACTCCTTTCTCTTGTCTGCTGCCATGCAAGACGTGCCTTTCACCTTCTGCCAGGATTGTGAGGCCTCCCCAGCCAGGTGGAACTGTAAGTCTATTAAACCTCTTTCTTTTGTAAATTGCCCAGTCTCAGGTATGTCTTTATTAGCGGTGTAAAAACAGACTAACACAGTAAATTGTTACCAGTAGAGTGGGCTGCTGCTGTAGATACCCGAAAATGTAAAAGCGACTTTGGAACTCAGTAACAGGGAGGAGTTGGAAGAGTTTGGAGGGCTCAGAAGAAAATAGGAAAATGTGGGAAAGTTTGGAACTTCCTAGAGACTTGTTGAATGGTTTTGCCCAAAATGCTGATAGCAATATGAACAATAAAGTCCACGCTGAGGTGGTCTCAGATGGAAATGAGGAACTCGTTGGGAACTAGAGAAAACATGACTCTTGTTAATGTTTTAGCAAAGAGACTGGCTGCAATTTTTCCCTGCCCTTTTCCCTGCCCTTGAGATTTGTGGAACTTTGAACTTGAAAGAAATGATTTAGGATATCTGGCAGAAGAAATTTCTAAGCAGCAAAACATTCAAGAGGTGACTTGTGTGCTATTAAAGGCATTAAGTTTTATAAAGGAAGAAGAGCATAAAACTTTGGAAAATTTTCAGCCTGACAATGTGATAAAAAAGGAAATCCCGCTTACCAAGGAAAAATTCAAGCTGGCTGCAGAGATTTGTATAAGTAATGAGAAGCCAAATATTAATCCCAAAGACAATGGGGAAAATGTCTCCAGGGCATGTCAGAGGTCTTAATAGCAGCCCCATCCATTCCAGGCCCTGACACCTAGAAGAGAAAACTTGTTTCATGGGCCAGGCTCATGGTCTTTGTGCTGTGTACAGCCTAGGGACTTGATGCCCTGGGTCCCAGCTGCTCCAGTTGTGGCTGAAAGAGGCTAACATAGAGCTCAGGACATGGCTTCAGAGGGTGCAAGCCTCAACCCTTGGCAGCTTTCATGTGGTGTTGAGACTGCAAGTACACAGAAGTCAATAATTGAGATTTGGTAACCTCCACCTAGATTTCTGAGGTTGTGTGGGAAAGCCTGGATGTCCAGGCAGAAGTTTGCTGCAGGAATGGGGCACTCATGGAGAACCTCTGCTATGGCAGTGTGAAAGGGAAATGTGGGGTTGAAGGCCCCACACAGAGTGCTTACTGGAGCACTAGTGGCCTAGTGAAGCTGTGAGAAGGGATCTACTATCCTCCAGACCCCAGAATGGTAGATCCACCAACAGCTTGCACCTTGCACCTGAAAAAGCCACAGACACTAAATGCCAGCTCCTGAAAGCAGCCGGGATGGAGGTTGAATCCTAAAAAGCCAAAGAAGTAGAGCTGCCAAAAACCATGGGAACCCACTTCTTGCATCTTGGCAACCTGGAAATGAGACATGGAGTCAAAGGAGATCATTTTGGAGCTTTAAGAACTGACTGCCCTGCTGGATTTTTGGACTTGCATGGGTCCTGTAATCCCTTTGTTTTGACCAATTTCTCCCATTTGTAATGGCTGTATTTACCTAATGCCTGTACCCCCATTGTATCTAGAAAGTAACTAACTTGCTTTTGATTTTACAGGCTTGTAAGTGGAAGGGACTTGCCTTATCTCAGATGAAAAATTTGACTGTAGACTTCTGAGTTAATGTTGAAATGAGTTAAGACTTTGGGGGACTGTTAGGAAGACATGATTGGTTTTGAAATGTGAGGACATAAGATTTGGGAGGAGCCAGTGCTGGAATGATATGGTTTGGCTGTGTCCTCACCCAAATCTCATCTTGAATTGCTGCATGTTGTGGGAGGGACCCGGTGGGAGATAATTGAATCATGGGAGCAGGTCTTTCTTGTGCTGTTCTCATGATAGTGTATAAGTCTCATGAGATCTGATAGTTTTATAAGGCAGAGTTTCCCTGCACAAGCTCTCTTCTCTTGTCTGCTGCCATGTGAGACATACCTTTCATCTTTCACCATGATTGTGAGGCCTCCCAAGCCACTTGGAATTGTAAGTCCATTGAACCTCCTTCTTTTGAAATTGCTCAGTCTCAGGTATGTCATTATCAGCAGTGTGAAAATGGACTAATACAAGTTTTTATTCAAAAATGACTAAATTTGGATGTAATTTTTGCATTTGTTTTAAATGCTTGCCACTTGAACACATATCAAAATACTGAAATAAAACAGGTTTAATCCTATACTGAAGAGTCATGCATGAGACTAGACCAGTAGATGTAGACATTCAGATAGTGGGAAAATACAAGAAAAATGACAGTAACAAGTGTTTAAACTGAATAATAATGAAGAGTATGTATGGTGTTACAGAACACTTTTTAGATACTAAAATTAACCAATGTGTTAATCACCAGTAAGCATGAATAAAATGGAATTCAATTTATTCATTCATTAGATTTTAAATAGCACTCATAGGCTCTTAAATTTACAATTAACCAACATATATGAGGGTGGGTATAGAATAGTGGAAAGAACACTAAAGAAATGTTGAAAACAAATCATATTTCTACCAGTTATTAGCTATGGATAATAAAGCTAAATCAGTTTCTTAATCATATTGAATCTACTTACTTACCTATAAAACTTGAACAATACTTTTTTTTCTGCTGATCAGTATTGCATCTGTTTAAAAGGATGAAGGTAAGATGTATTTCAGACTACTAGGGGATTAAAATGTAGGTAGACCAGAGATTGTGAAAGGCTTAGTAGTCCATAATGAAAAGTTTAAAATTTCCCTACTGGCTTTAAAGCACTTGAGATTTTCAGAGAAAGAAATGACGAGATTAATATTATTTGGTAAGTCAAGAGAAACCATAAGCTAGCAATTCAAAACAAATGTTGAGGGAAAGTAAACAAAGGAAAAAGCAGTGACTATGAGGTTACAACAGGTTTGAGAAACACTTTGGAGATAATGAAGGTACTTTTCAACAAGGAACCAAGACCATGGAGAGAAAAATGGACTATTCAGTCATTCATACAGTACTCTTTCTGATGTCAATCAACTATGATTGGTGATAAAATCACAACTGTATATAACTGTAGAAAATGAGCAGAGAACATCACCATCACAGATCTTTAGAGAGATTATGCCAACACCTTTTTATTTCCACTTTGATTATATTAGAAGATGAAGGGTTGAAAAAATTATAATACTGTATGTTTTAATTTCATTGCAGTGTTGTATAATTTCAGTGCAATATAATTTTAGTGAAGTATTGTAACTAACAAAAGAAGCTTTGAATAATTAAGATTGGGTTGCCTGTTGAGTACTATATGTAGGGTATAACTGTGGTGAAGAACAACAAATCAAATATAACTGATACATTTTTACATATCTGGTTCTGAGAGAATATGATTAAATGTGACTAGAAAAGAGTAAAACGATTTATCTTAATTGATCCTTAAAAAATCACAAATTAAATAGCAATATTTTTTCCCTAAAGGTAATAAAAACAATGAAAAAGGCAATCAATGCATGCTTTAGAAAGTTGATGATAAAACATGTGCTCAACTTTTTTTAGGCACCAAAACTTTCAATTGTATAAATTAAATGTGTAAAATACATCATTTCTCTTGCATCATGCATATTTGCTACATATTAACCCCAAACCCCATATCTAAAAATCATCCAATTTTTATGGCTTATTCCAATAAGTACCACGTACAAAATGATGAAAAACTTTTTATACCTAAATACATTTAGGAATTCAAAAATTGGTAGGTTTTAAATATAAAAAGAATTAGCTTACAAGTAACTGGGAACAAACGGAAATTCGTTGGAAGACCAGGCTTCCAAGTGCTATATGATCCCTGGAGACCAAAAGAGAAAAAAAAAAAACAAAAGCAAAAATAAACAAACAAAAAAAACACTGAAAAACTGCAAAACATAGTTACAAGAAGCAGATAACACCTTTATTGATTTTTTTTGTTTATATAGTAGCTCAGAAAGCATGAAGCCAGATGAATGATTCCAGATATTTTGATACTTCTTTGACCAATCCCAGAGGGTGCTAAGGTGAGAAGAACAGAAAAGAAGACAAAAGAAAAAAAAATCCTTTTTGAGTTGATGGTTTCCATCCCTATACCAAATAATACAATTTTGAATGCAATTTAAAACCCTTCACTCATAGCTTGAAGGCCTTGGAAAGGTTAGGCCATTGCCACCTTAGTAGTCATATGACTATATTCACCTCCTATAGTTTCTGATCCACTGACTCACAATGTTGTCTTTCCCAAGGTTATTCTTAAAGGAATTGAGTAAAGGATTTTTTTTAAATTGTAGTCAAAGGACAAAACCTGTAACAGTCTTTTCTTCTCCGTCTCATAATATTCTTTTGAAATTCCTGTAAATCTAGATCCAATATTCTTTGTTTTTGAGAAAACACAGAATCACTGTTTGGAAGGATTCATTTAAGATTTTTAATAACTAAGGTTTTCCATCACTTTAATTTAGTATTCTCAGTCTCATCTACATTCTATGTATATTTTTCGAATTCACATTTTAAAATACCTTTATTGCAAAATCTCTTCATGTATATTTTCGGAACTTTGTTACATTCCTCATTTGACCAACAATCCTTTTTTGAAAATCTAAGAATCTGTTTGTCTAAGAATTCGAAAATAGAGACTAGGATAAAGAGATAAAAAAGAACCAAGTCCTGCCTCCAGTGGTGGAAGCATATTAGCATTAGTAAAATTAGCCATAGTGGAATCAGTGTTTGCCAATATATCATCTTGAAAGTAGACATTAAACATGATGGGTTAATGGGTGCAGCACACCAACATGGCACATGTATACATATGTAACAAACCTGCACGTTGTGCACATGTACCCTAGAACTTAAAGTATAATAAAAATAATAATAATAACAAACAAAGAAAGTAGACATTACCATGTGATGCTATAAGCTTTATTTTGAAATGGTATTTTGAAGCAATTATTGGAAAGTTGAAGGTCTGAAAAACATGCAAATTTTTGTTTGATGAATTTTAGTCACATTATGTATTTATTTGGTTCCTTTAAGAAGTAGATAACAACTGTGATTAACATGCAAAATATTTTTATGTGTTGTTATACTAAACTGTATTTTTATTAAATATGTATCTAGGCAGATATTGAAATAAAAAGGAATTATAAAAACATCAAGTAGGACTGGGCATGGTGGCTCACGCCTGTAATCTCAGCACTTTGTGAGGCCGAGACAAGCGGATCACGAGGTCAGGAGTTCGAGACCAGCCTGGTCAACATAGTGAAACCCCGTCTCTACTACAAATACAAAAATTAGCCAGGCATGGTGGCATGTGCCTGTAGTCCCAGCTACTCGGGAGGCTGAAGCAGGAGAATCGCTTGAACCTGGGAGGTGGAGATTGCAGTGAGCTGAGATAGCACCATTGCACTCCAGTCTGGGTGACAGAGTGAGGCTCCGTCCAAAAAAAAAAACAAGTCAGGTAGATGTGAAGAAAAAGTGCCTAGAGTATATATACATTAAAACAAATTCATAGTGTGATGTTTCAAAATAGCTTAAAAATGGTAAATTTAAGACTAATATGCCTATATTTATAAACAGTGCCCAAGACTGCTAAAAAGAAGATCTCATTGCACAACCTAATTGCAGCATGCTCATGAGATGAAAAGGGTCAGAGAAAGTAACAACAAAAATTGGCAAATTACTTCTGAGTCATGCTTACCATTGCTTATTTCTAATTCTCTTAAGACCTCAAAAGTGTTTCATTAACTGATATTCCAAGTGTTGGTGGAATTATATGGAATGACTGTAAGATAATATAGGTATAGTTAGGAGAAAGATCAACTACTTCCAGTAACAGAAACATTTATATAAATGTTGAGAGTTATATGATGTGTGATGGCCATTAGAATCCATTCTCTAATCAGTAATTGCAGGGAACATAATTGAGCATAGGCCACAGTCACTGAGCAATGAAACCTATTAGATATTTTTCCTTAAGACCATCCTTCTCACTATTCCCAGCTAATGAGTGAGCATGACAAAGATACTAATGCACACTCATTTCTAGGAGACACTGGAATCTTCTGCTGTTGGATGACTTTGTTTCAAGATCTCTGTAAAGGCCATGTTGAACTTGTAGAACTGCAATGCAATCTAAGATGCTTCTACTCAGTCTTTCTTCCTTCCATTTTTCCTTTAACATGAGTCAAAACTGTATCAAGAGCTGATGGCTCTCTTGCCCTTCTCCAACTATTTCATCTTTCCATACAGTCTTTGTCCCTAATATATCTCTTGCAAGGTTAATCTGGTTTTGGCTTCTGCTTTTCAAGTGACTCAGGCAAACTCATGATGTGACTAAAATTAATCAAAATACAATTGTTTTAAGATGTTGAACTTTCAAATCATTGCTTTGAATTACCATTTCAGAATGAAAATGTGGAGAAGGAACCACTACTTAAGGCATGGGCAAAGTCTTAATGACTGAAACACCAAAAGCAATGGCAACCAAAGCCAAAATAGACAAATGGATCTAATTAAACTAAAGAGCTTCTGCACAGCAAAAGAAACAATTATCAGAGTGACCAGGCAACCTATAGAATGGGAGAAAATTTTTGCAATCTATCCATCTGACAAAGGGCTAATATCCAGAATCTATGGAGAACTTAAACAAATTTACAAGAGAAAAAAAACCTCATCAAAAAATGGGCAAAGGATATGAACAGACACTTTTCAGAAGAAAACATTTATGCAGCCAACAAACGTGAAAAAAAGCTCATCATCACTGGTCATTAGAGAAATTCAAATCAAAACTGCAATGAGATACCATCTCATGCCAGTTAGAATGGCAATTATTAAAAAGTCAGGAAACAACAGATGCTAAAGAGGATGTGGAGAAATAGGAATGCTTTTACACTGTTGGTGGGAGTGTAAATTAGTTCAACTATTTTGGAAGACAGTGTGGTGATTCCTCAAGGATCTAGAACCAGAAATACCATTTGACCCAGTAATCCCATTACTTGGTATATACCCAAAGGATTATAAATCATTCTACTGTAAAGACACATGCACACATATGTTTATTGTGGCACTGTTCACAATAGCAAAGAGTTGGAACCAACCCAAATGCCCATCAATGAAAGACTGGATAAAGAAAATGAGGCACATATACACCATGGAATACAATGCAGTCACAAAAAAGGATGAGTTCATGTCCTTTGCAGGGACATGGATGAAACTGTAAACCATCATTCTCAGTAAACTAACACAAACAGAAAACCAAACACTGCATGTTCTCATTCATAAGTAGAAGTTGAACAGTGAGAACACATGGACACAGGGAGGGGAACATCACACATGGGGACCTGTCAAGGGGTGGGGTGGTAGGGGAGGGATAGCATTCAGAGAAATACCTAATGTAGATGACGGGTTGATGGGTGCAGCAAACCACCATGGCACATGTATACCTATGTAACAAACCTGCACATTCTGCACATGTATCTTAGAACGTAAAGTGTAATCAAAATAAATAAATAAATAAATAAAAGCAAGATTTTTTTCTGGATTTTATACTATCTAGAGGGACAAGCATATCATGTCACTTAAAAACTGATGGATGTTCTTGATTCCTTAATACCTACTTGGTCAAAGCCTAGTTACTCTTCAACCCCATACCATGACATAAGCACACACATACACAAGCACACAACTTAGAATATCCAGTATCACATTACTGCTACATTTTAAAATGCAGGATATTAAGGAACAACAAAAACTAAAAGACAATCTTTTGGAAATCATTCAATTTAGATTTAGAAAGTTAATATAAGCATGAATGGTTTCTTGCCAGAGAAGCAATCCTATTAAGTATTATTTTCAAGGCCCACAAGTTCTATTGTCACTTTATTATGAGGATGCCTGGAATGGTCCAGTGACAGATAGGCACTGTGGCTCGAATGCTTTTCTCTGCATATGAGTAATGTTTGTATGCTTGTAGTACCTTACAATGTGGAGATCATATTTAATAAATACTTTTTAAATTGCATAGAATAAAGTCAATTTACGACAAAAACCATTTATAGATGATGAAGTTCATTTGAGAAAGGCTAAATAGGACTGACAAATTAGGATCGAATTCAAAACCACATCATTTGTCAACATTTCGTCATGTAAATGTCCATGTCTTTTTTTGTTCAAAAATAGTATCTTCACAATAAACTGCTGGAGATTCAGACTTTGAAGAAAAAAAAATAGAAATCTGTCAGTTTTTTGACAATGTTACAAGAAAATCTGTCAGCTTTGTGTTGCTATGGCTATTTTTGCCCTTTGTGGTTCTTTTGTTTTTATCTTTAGGTGCATCACAGAAAATGAAAATTAAGAAAATGTGTTACTACTTGGTCTGAAACTGTTGAGCAGGAAGAAAAAAACAAATAAATAAAAAATAGAGTAAAATAAAATGGCTTTGGAAGGAGAGCAAACCAGGGTCAGCTCCTGCAGAAGAAAGAAAGGAAAGCTTAGGGAATACAGCAGCCTGAGAAGGAACCCTAGGCTTGTCATTTGAAAGGCCTGCGAAAGGTTTTCCCATAACTACCTGGGAAAACAGAATAGCATATATACACATTGTTCAAACACTGTGTACTGACTATCAAATACATATTTAAGAAAATGTTCTTACCAAAACATTAATTTCAGCAAAAGTCTGCAAGATCGAGATCCTCCTAAGAAGCTTGACATAGTAACATTTTCACAGTTTTCACTTGCAAATCATTGCATAGTAACATAAGCTAAATTTAAGCCTCTTTGTTACAGATAGAAGTTGCTATGCATAATCTTCTTATTTTCTTTGTATTCTTTTAAGTATAATAATGATAATAATAAAATAATTTCTATTTATTTGTTGAGAAACAAAACAATAATTAAAATGGTTTAAACAATATGTTAGATATATAAATTATTAAAGGTAAACTAATGATGCAATTATCAATTAACTCATTACAACTTCCGTAAAAATTTAAGCAGAAAACTCAATCATATACCACAAAAAAACCGAGACACACAAAATAAAAAAGAAACAATGCAAGAATTGTCATTGTACATTTTCATTTCTAAAGAGAATTACACCGTAGACATAAAAGAAAGAATGTGAAAGGGAAAACCGAGATTGTTTAAAGTAGATAAACACAATTTTGTTTCACTGAATATATTCCTCTGAATTTTTCTTCTAAAAGTATCATCCTTAGTTAAGTTACCTTTGTTATCACTATATTGCATGTATCCCAGTAGAGATCCATGTAACACATTTGGACTGTAAGTCATCTGCATATGCACATACAAACAACATAGACACATGTGCACATTTGAACCTGTTTTTTAACCCATTACTTTCTTAGACTATTTGCTCAAAGAACTTTTGTTTTGATACTTGTTAATATGCCACATAAAAGATTACCAGTTTCTCAGACTTGTGTATGTGTTCAGAGTACATATCTGTATCAATTATAATAATAAAATAGTCTGTGTTCTGTATTTAATAATAAAGTATTTAATACTAGTGAATTTAAAGTCATTATTTTGTCATGTATTGAATATTTTGTTAAGTTGATACATGTAAAAATCTACTAAAATATTATGAGGCAGAATACAGTGCCCTATGTCTGATAAACATATACAAGAAAGATAAGGGCAGGAAAAAATTTTACAGCTCCCTTTTGAAAACACCTGAAGAAGGGATAATATTTGTTGATAAAATAGAAAAAAAAGTAAATAATTCTAAAGTTAGCAAAATGGAACATTTAAATGTGGTAGCACTTGACCAGGACAAATATGGAATATGAGACTTGTGCTGTAAAATATATGATAGTCAATAGGCTCTTAAGAGCTACTGTACCCCTCCCTATACCTAGCCCCGTTCCCAACCATGAAGACTTACATTTAGATACGTTTCCCTTGAAATGAGGAGGCATTTGGGAACCACAGTTACTCATATTACCCTTGTTTTTAATATTTCAAATTGCTTATTTACTGGTCTGATAGAAAATCAAATAAAAATCTTTAAATTGAGATTTCTCTGTGTGGTATGACCTGGCTTATATGGTAGAGTTAGCAGGGCTGGTAAGAATGGGTTTGTGAATAAGTAGGGTCAAGTATAATATCTCACCTCTTATTTATAGGAGGTGACTGATGGCACCCCATGTCCTCTTTTGCATTTGGACTTTGTTTCCCAGGAAAGGGGGAGGGTTCCTATGGGGGCTAGATAACCCTACATCAGACTTGGGCTACGTACATGATACCTGATGATTTGTATTAAGAAAAGCTGAGATTATTATCCTAGGATTCTCACGGAAGTCCGGGTTTTGAGAAGTGGTACCAATTTTATATCTCTGTTGGAGATTAGACAGCAAATAGTAGGCCAGATCCTGAATGCCTGCACTAATTGAAACTCTTGGCACACATGTCTTTAGCTGGGCATATTGCCCTCAAAGAGGCAATGGAAATGATAGGACATTAGCGGCAAGGCCTGGTTATACATACTATGACAACAGACTGAAGTGCCTGTGGTATTAGGCTACTTGATGTGGAAGGCAGGATAATGCCTCCCAGAGATGTCTACATCCTAATCCCTGGAATCTGAATATGTTAGATTACATAGAAATGAGAATTAAGGTTGCAGATATAATTAGTGTTGCTGATCAGCTGATTTTAGGAGAAAGAGATTATCCTGAATTATCCAGGTAGGCCCAATGTAATCACAGGATCCTTTAATCTGAAAAAGGGAGGTAGAAGATTCCGAGATGGAGTGATGTAATGTCATGTGAGAAAGACACAGGCCTCTGAGGGCTCTGAAGTTGGGAAGTGCCAAGAGCCATGCAATGTCGGTAACTTTTAGAAGCTGCAGAAAGAAACACACCCCTGCTAACACCTTCATCTTAGCCCAGTGAGAAACATTTGAATTTCCTAACTACAGAATTGTAAGCAAATAATTTGGAGTTTTTTGCAGCCACTAAGTAGTGATTTAGTAATTTGTTACAGCAGCTATAGAAAGCTAATATTTCCCTATAGTAAAGGCTTGGGTGAGTCAAACAGAGCATTGAATTCTCATGTACATGATGGGAACCCTTTGTAATTAAAAGCACCTCTAACTCCATCGAAATATGAGTATTGAAGCACTGGCTAGAATATTAGAACATTTCAAATATAATAAAGACACTAAATAGAGGGGAGAAAACCGGCATCAAACTATACATAATCTCTATATATTTTTTCATTCTAAAGGTGAATATCAGAGGATCTGCTAGTTTGTTCTTTTCTGTCCTGTCCATTGGAGTGATTGAATCTGAGCACACTGCAAATATTGCTGAAATTCAAATCCCTTATTCCGCTGGCTATGCTTTAAATGAATCTTCTCATTTTCCGGCTTGCCAAGTGGGAAAGGGAGCTAAGGGGAATATAATATAATCAAGGTATGTAGGAGGGATATTCAGGACCTCTTTGGGCTCCCCTAAGAAAAGTTGTAATACCTTCGAGTATATATGCCACAGTTTATCAGGGGAAAACCTCTGGTTTATTAAGGGTCCTTCATAGAATAAACGGGCTCACTATGGAGTATCATTCACCATATCCCTAAATATAGCATACACTGAATTCCACTGGTAACATATTTTCAATACAAGCAATAAGACTGAGTGAGCATGTAATGCCCACTGACTCCGCCATCCTCCCTGGATATAACCTCTTTGAGGCCATTGACTATGTCTTCCATTTCTTTGAATGAGTATATACTTATCCAAGACACTACACGCTGAAAATATTCAATGATAATTTTATGATTTTTTAGCTGCTCAGTATCCAGCAGAATTACTTAAAGAATAGGTGTTCTAAGGTCTAAATGTTTATTTGAATTTGTAACACAGGAAGGCACAATGTTGCTTTTTAAAGTGTTTTTTATACCCACATCTTAAATTTATGGATGAGAATTGTTCTACTTATAAGGAAAGACTTCTTCTTCATGGCAATATGATAGATGAGACTAAGATCTGCTGGGATTCTGAATTTTGCAGAGACTAATAATAGACGACAGATTAAGAATAATTGACAGTGTCATCTTGAAGTGTTATAATAACACAAGAAAGGGCTTCGAGAGACAGCTGGAAGAGAAGGCAAGATACTGTCAGAGGGAAGTAAGTGCTTTTGTAGGCATTAGGCTTCAAATCTAGCTTTAATAAGCTTTCAATGCTTGAGTTGAGTAGAAAATATTTTTCATATTTTTCATGTTTTATATTCAACTCAAGCATTGGAAGCTTATTAAAGCTAGATTTGAAACCTAATTAGATTTTCAAAACAAACAGTTTTCATAGTAGGCTTTTCCCACTTTCTCACATCACAAACCACATAATATGCTTTAATACAATTCAGGAGAATGGGTAGTTTATATTTAGACGATGGCTAAAAGAGATCAGTAATCAATCGATATGTTATATAGTTATCACAAGCTTGTAAGTTAGTGACATGTATATGTTAAATTTAGGCACGGATTGAGCTAGAGCCAAATACTTAATAAAGAAATTAAAATGTCTATGCCCCTCTTATTTTTACCTATTAGTTTGAAACACCTTATAAAACAATAAATGGCATATTCTAATTAGCATGCCTTATAATGAGTTGGAGAAGTGTTAATTAGCTTAATTCCATTAGCTTTTAAATACAAAGCAATAATGTAAAAATGCGTGTTATTTGAAATTTGGAGATTAAACATAATAAAATTATGGTTTATATAAAGGATAGGTATGCCAGGAAGAAAAATAATCTAGGTACTTCATAAGAATTTCACCGAATTAAGTTACATAGATATCTGTTATAGAAATATACACTGAATTGTGGGCTCTAATTACTAAAATTTAGCCCTAGCCTCACTCTTCCCTAGCTATGTGAATCCGAAATTTTATCCTCTTTTAACCTGTTTCAGTCTTACTTTAAGGATTAAATGAAACAGTATATGTCAAAATATCTTATATATTATAAACACTATACAGTTTGTACTACAGAGGATCAGCTATCCACAAAGATTCATTTTCTTACTGGCATATATATAATTGTTTGCCCTTAGCAAGGCATAACATCTCTTTGTCTCTTATGTATGGAGAATCTAGTTCTCAACAAAGATGTGTATAGGTAAACTATGTAACATTTCCAAGTCTTAGGTCTTATAAAACAAGTGCCTTTTGTATGATTTCTTTGTCTCTCTACTTGCTGAAGACAGAGCATTTGGGAGATCTGAATGAGTCTGGGTCCCTGAGTAATTCAATAGAAAGATATATTCCAGTCACTATCATCTTCATGGACCTTATTATGAGCAAGAAATGAGTAATAGTGCTAATAATATTAATAATTTATATAATTAATAAATAATACTAATAATTATTAATGTTAAAATAGTCAAAATATTTGTTGTTATATAATATAGTATTGTTACAGAATCAAATAAATTTATCCAGGTATTTTTATTTATACTTTTTGTAGCTACATATTACCACATTTATTTGTATTAAGCATATATATTCTTTGAAGTGCTTTTGTGATAAAGAGATGCCAAGATTTTTATACATCACATAAAGAATAATTTTAAAAAATTATTATACATTTTAATTTTATAATCTTTGAAATAAAGATGTTTGGAAGTATAAAGGAATATATTTCAAATGACTGAGGCTTTAGAAGTGAATGAGTATAAATACAGTCACATTAATATGACTCCTTGAACTGCTGTACCTCTTTTCCCCTATCTGTTGACCCTAGATATTGGATATTTGCCAAGTTTCCTATTCCTATGTAGTAGAGGGGCTACCCAAGGAAAAATTCACTTTTTTCCGCACTGCTTTGCTGAATTCCCATTTCCCTCTCCTGCTGCCCTTTATTTTCCTCTACCACGCATCATGCATGAAATCTGCAGACATCCCTGCTAGCTCAGCTGGGACACTACAGGAGCAAGCAGACTTGATGGTACCACAGATCTGCCACTGCAAACTAAATTTTATTTCAGGCTACAGATAAGCTGAGCTGCAGATTTCTGATGCTTTGCTTAACAACACTCTTGCAAAGTGAGGAGAATAACTTCCCTTCCGTCTGTGTTGTACTCAATTAAATGGTAAAAGGATGTTGTAATCTATTCTATATGAAGAGTCATAGAAGTTTTGCCTGGAACCTGCAGAAACACATCAATGAAAATTACCTCATTTTAACCAATACTTTTTCTCTCTTTATTTTTTTCTTTTTCCTTTCTTCCTTTTTTCTTTTTTTTTTTTTTTTAAGGAAAATGCATTTTCTAAATCCACATGAATTTCCAGTATCTCTGGGCCTCTAAAGTTCCAAGTAACTGACATATGGTAAACCAATACATATTACTTCCCTTTAGACTCTTGAGCTGTATTGCTAACAAAAGCTTTTAATCCCGGACTCTTATTCATAGAATCATTGCCTATCCCTGCAATGTCTCCAATTATTTCTATTAGAAGATCTTTATATGTCTGAATCTTTTACGTTAATTAGAGTTCACGTGATTTCCCTCGTCCTAACCAAGCAAGGAGACTTTATGCAAAACTTTGTTCACAGATAGATAGTCAGTGAAAGAGTGTTGCATATCTTCAGTTGACAGATGAATCTTATCCTTGTCTCTGGTCCAACCTGTATAATGTGTTTCAAGAATGAACATTGCTATCTGAATTTATTTGCCTGTTCTTTCAGAAAATATTTAAGATTGTATTGCTTTTCTGGAAGAAAGCTTAGTTTTAAGCTAATTTTCTTTAAAGTAGTTCATCCATCTCTAATGGTACCTCTAATTTTATGCAGGGTGAGGATGAAATATACACATCTCATGTGGAAATAATCTTTTTCAGGAGTAAAACCAAATTAAAGAAAAAAATGTTTAAGTAACTACCCATGAGGGATAATCCTTTAATGCATTAACTAGCTGACAATCATTCATGAAACACGAAATTCTGCAAGTTTAAAAAAAGAGAATTTCTATATTCTTCTTTCAAGTTTATTCTGAGTTATAATCTGTAGAAATTGATTTTAAAAGGTATGAAGTAATAACTGAAGTCTAGAAGTAGAAGTTTTATATTAGAAATATTATTTTCAAATTATTAATGGCAGTGGTACTTTTAAGTACACAGATACAGAAGAAAACTGTAAAGAAGGAAGAAAATAAAATATATTCCATTCTTAGGAGTATAATCATTTCAAGCACAATCACATGCAAAAAAACTATTTTAGAATGTTTAAAGAAAAGTAGCAGCTCATTGAAAGGCCAGTTTGCATTATTCTATTTCACATTTCCAAAAATTCCTGACATTTATATATTACATAAAGGCAGCACAGTGAACATCTCCAAAGGGAGGTAGTGGGTTTTCTGATGCAGTAAGTGTTATAAAGGACAGTCATCTTGCAGTTTTAGATGGAGTCAATAAGTATATTACCATGTAAGCACTTTTCATCACAGAAATTCAATAATCACTTGTTTAACCTGGATTGCACACCATAGAATTGTAAAAACCTTATAACCTATCTAGTAGGACGAGTAAGTTAGCATACATCTAGAAATATTGCTGTTTTTAAAGAGAAATGATTTCAATAGAAAATATCCAGGTAATTTATATATACGTATGTATTTTTGCATACATGCCTATACACATGTAGTTTTCATATGTGTACATGTATGTATATGAGAATATGTATCTAATAACATTTTTATGAGAAAGAATTCAGAAAATATTTATTGTGATTACCTATACACAGAAAAGGTACATGTCAATACATATTATCCAAATTAGAAGGAGCAGTAGACATTAAGAAAATCAGTAATATTGTAAATAAGAGACTGTGAGAAATTCTCAAAGAGGAGGAGAAATTTTGTCCTATTGTCCTAGGATTCAAATGAACACATAATTTGAATTATGTTTATAATTTAAAATTTCTATACAAGGTATTATTATGTTTAATAAATATACATTGGGTATCAAGTACACATATATATTTATTATTTCAGTTGGTTGTTACAGAAACCCTGTGAGAATGGTAAGGCAGTTATTTTTCTACCTTCTTTATAAGAAAAATTATCAGGTCAAATGACTAAAAAAGTAAAATACTCTTCCCCAAGACTGTTCCTTTCTTTTGAAAGCAGAGGTTCTGCTAAAAGGATACTGCACATAATTAATATGTACCCCAAATATGTTCTGAAAGGTGTAGAAAAGGAAGGAAAGGAGTTTCTATCTTACACTAGATTAAAGTTAAATGCTCTTATATTGCCAATTAACATATCAAAAGAAGGTTTTTCAAAATAATAAACAAAACATTTCAATCTAGACAAAGTACTCTCTAGACAAAAGGGAGGTACTATTACTGAAACATTATTATTTACTAATTTTTTTTCAAAATAAAAAAATCATATGTTGGGGAATATTAAATATATTTAATATTCAATATTTTTCCCAAGTAAGATTATTTACAACTTTAGTTAACAGT
This sequence comes from Homo sapiens, assembly GCF_000001405.40. Taxonomy (NCBI): domain Eukaryota; kingdom Metazoa; phylum Chordata; class Mammalia; order Primates; family Hominidae; genus Homo; species Homo sapiens. Next base: position 135,003,758 of record NC_000004.12, read on the forward strand.
ATTTATTTAATGTAATTTCAAAATATAAGAAGAATGAGATTATATTGATAAAAACAAATATTTGAAATGAAATATTGTGGATACATTTTGAAACTCTGTATTAGCATCAATATCTGGTCCTATTTCTGCATTTTATTTTTATTGTTTGGAACAAAGAAAACACTGCTTCAAGCATAATATAGAAAATGATAGCAGACTACCATTTTTAATAACTCACCTGCAACTTTTATGAAATTTTCATTAAATGCCAATCAAAATATCTAAATGAAAAGTAGTAGGACATGTTTGCTTCTAAATGAGTCATTAGCAATATTTAATACCTACTTATATTCCTTACTTACACATTAAAGTAACCAACATCTTCCAAATGATAATCAACTATTAAATTGCGTGTGATGTGCTATTGTCACTATAGCACATGCTGTTTACTAGACAATTAACAATTATGCTATGATAATGTATTAAAGAGGGATTATTTATAAACTATATTCATTTGGTTAAAGAACATATTAATAAATATTGTATTATTTTATTCAGTCACCAACACTTGGATTCAAAACAAAATAAAATACGTATCAGTATACAAGTATTAAGTTTCAGATTTACGTAGGAATTTAAAATGTATGCAGAGAAAGGGGAAAAGCCATATTCTAAGGCATGCAGAAAAAATATCAATCAGATAGCACAAGTTACTATATTTATGGTATCCAGAGCAACATATACCCAATGGAATGTAGGTGTTTGTAGTGTGTGTGCTATTAGTGGTGATATGAAAACTTTAAACAGTTAAATCTTTTTAAATATTGAAATTTGAGCCAAATAATTTTACAATAAGGAAATCTGAAAAAGAAATCCTTCTAAGTCTTTAGGAAAATTTAACAACATCTGGAAATAAAGAAATGAGCATAAAACAAAATGCATTCATTCATCAAGGTCATTACTAAGAAAAAATATGGCCTGAAAGTTTTAAACACCTTCCTAATCACATAATTTTTGACTAAAGCATGACTTTAGCACCAGGTGGAATAATGTCTACCATTAATTTTTTATTTCCTTTAAGCAAAGCACGGATATTTAAATGACTTAAGTGCTGGTAATATAATTTCCGTGTCTTCTGTCTTGCAATAAAAATACAAAAATCAATACCTTTTAGATTGGGAGACCCCTATTTTAAAACTTTATTGCCCATTACCCGTTAATGTTTGCTTGTCAGTACACATTAATGTTTTGCCCTTGATCTCCTCTTTCATTTCTACCTATTTCCTTCCCTATACACTCTGCTGCACACACATACACCTCTCTTGTGACCTCATCACTTTTTCCTGTTTTTGCTTGCAGCATTGTTGTCCTCCATAACTTTGCTCACTTGAGAAAGTGAGCACATTTCTGCAACCACTATAATAACTCTCTTTTTGGTTAACATGGTTTACTACTGATAAATAGGAATGGGTTAATGACTTTCAACTCTTTTAACATGCAAGAAAGATGTGATAAACTATTAGCTCTAGAAACAAACTTTCTAAACATTATTATACTTTATCATTTCACCACAAACATATATTTTTACAACTACACATTACCCATTTGTTCTCATGTCAATTATCTTAAATATTGATTGTTTTTTGAGTCATTTGTCATAAAATTTATTGAGTACAGAATACTAACCACTTGAAAATAAAGACAACTCTTAAAATCACTTACATGTAAAAAATGGAAAATATAGAGTTGTCGTAAACCTAACTTTATTTTAGAAAATTGTTGATAACTTTCCCTAACCCTTTAAATTTTAGATACCTTTGAAAACAACTTGATTTGGAGTATAACTGTATTGTTCTTCTGTTTCATCATTATATACTTTACTTCTTAATGAGACTGAATAACCAATACAATGGAACCACTATTTTCAAGGTCGAACACTATTCACTATGTCTTTCACAACACACACAGAATAACCATCATGGAATTTTGAAGGATTTTCCTCCTTTCCTAGATATTTATTGTACTGAAAATAAGTTTCTATCTTAGTTTTTACTCTCACTGACATATTTGTAAAATAATACATTCTGCTTACTCTTCTTTTCTACATCTCAGTTAGCTGTAATTACTCATACATTAAAATAAAGAAAGGTAAAATAGTACACTTTCTGGAATTTTTTTAAAAAGCAGATCTTCTATAGATTGTGACCAATTATTTTGTATGTATTATGAAACCTATTTGTAACAATAAACCATTTCAGTAAAAACATCAATGTCATTTATTATGCTGTTAAAATTAATGATAATAGGAGCTTAAAAATCAAAGTTTATTTTTTCATAAGCCAATATTCATTCATTCAATTTTGAAAATCATTATATACATGGTATATATTCTCATTCAAGTAATTTCAGTGAGCTTAATTAATGTTATCTGCTTATTTATATTCTACAAAATCTATCTTCTATTTTTAGGTGGGTACTTTAAAATCATTCTCACATTTCAGATTACAGTTATTATATGCACAGGTCAATAAACCATATCATTAAAAATGTTTCCTGTTGTCACACAAGTTCTCTTGTATTATCTAAAGCTTTTATAAAGAAAACCTATGCTGACAAGATAAAGAAATGCATTATGCTTTCTAGTTAAAACTGCTATACAGGCCGGGCGCGGTGGCTCACGCCTGTAATCCCAGCACTTTGGGAGGCCGAGGCGGGCGGATCACGAGGTCAGGAGATCGAGACCATCCCGGCTAAAACGGTGAAACCCCGTCTCTACTAAAAAAAATACAAAAAATTAGCCGGGCGTAGTGGCGGGCGCCTGTAGTCCCAGCTACTTGGGAGGCTGAGGCAGGAGAATGGCGTGAACCCGGGAGGCGGAGCTTGCAGTGAGCCGAGATCCCGCCACTGCACTCCAGCCTGGGCGACACAGCGAGACTCCGTCTCAAAAAAAAAAAAAAAAAAAAAAAAAAACTGCTATACAGAGCTGCAATCTATTATACATCTGAGAGTCATGAAAGTACTGAAACAACTTTACCATGTCATGCCTAATAATTGTGTAATAAAAAAGCTATGTTATTTCAGCACATAAAATTGTTTAAAGTGATTAATTTTCTGAAGACTTAAATTGAAAACGCATGAGAATTATTAAGCCCATGCCTGATCTGGGTTTGTGGAAATATATCATTGTACTTACCTGAAATGTCTCTTAAATTGTAGCTCTTTTGTGTGTTTGCTTCTTTTAAATTATTAAGATACATATGCATATCTGTAATTTTATTATGAATATATTATCCAACGAATAACCTAAAATATATAAATATATTTGCATATTGCTAAGTTTTTTTCTTTCTCTCTCAAAACTACTCAGATCTCTTTAAATATTTCAATAGAAAATAGAAAAAGATGGCTTTTCAATATCATATTAATTTATCATGAATTGTTACAAACTGCTAATACCTCTATAAACCATCCTCAATATTGTTAAACTATAGTTTCTATGTTGTTCACTACTCACTCTTTCAGTTTATTTACATGAAAAAATAAATTGATTGACCCTGAGGAGACTGGTGCTTTCATCTCTTCCTCCAAGGTTGAAGACTCTCAGTCTCTCACCTAAGCATTGATGTTAGGCCTCTGTTCATGCTGTTGGTGAATCTTAATAGAACCTCTTGGCCCACCTTCTTACTTCTTCCATTGCCCAAAGCATCTCTGAAACCTATTGCTGTATGTGATAGATCATTACCAGGTGTTTGACAGTAAAAGAGGGTAATTACTACACAGGCAGAAAACAACTTTAAATTGAAAGCTGTGTCTGGTCGTTTATAAAGTCTCAGTGGTTAGGCCATCACAGCACGGAAGAAGATACAAACATCCCCTAAGTATGACGTAATTCACCCTGCCCCAGCCCTTCCTGCCCACCTCAGCCTTACCTCCACTTTCTTCCCATATTATCTTCCATTGTATCTACTCTCTCTCTCTATATATATACACATACATATACATATATATACACATATATATACACACATATATTTTATATATATTATATATTATATATAATATATTTTATATATCATATATTTTATATATTATATATATTATATATATATATTATATATATTATATATTATATATATTATATATATTATATATATTATATATTATATATATTATATATATATTATATATATTATATATTATATATATTATATATATATTATATATTATATATATTTTATATAATATATAATATATTTTATATATTTTATATATAATATATTTTTTATATAAAAATATATATTTTATATATATTAAAATATATATATATTGAGATTGAGTCTCACTCTGTAGCCCAGGCTGGAGTGCAGTAGTGTGATCTCGGCTGACTGCAATCTCCGCCTCCCGGGTTCAAGCAATTCTCCTGCCTCAGCCTCCCGAGTAGCTGGGACTACAGGAGCACGCCACCACGCCCAGCTAATTTTTGTATTTTTAGTAGAGGCGGGGTTTCATCATGTTGGCCATGTTGGTCTCGATTTCTTGATCCGCCTGCCTCGGCCTCCCACGGTGCTGGGATTAAAGGCGTGAGCCAAGGTGACCCGCCTATCCACTCTATTTTTAAACCATCACCTGTCAAGCCCCAAATCCCTGTTGCATTGTTTTACAAAACAATTTAATCCTTATTTATTTAAATACTTTCTGCGAAGGTAATAACAAACAAGCGTTGCTTTTCATCACCGAAGAGGCAAAGCAAGGTATGTTTTGGTTTGTTTTAACAAAGGTAAATTTTCTTTCTGTGAATAATTCTGCCACCCTCTTGGAGCAAGTCATTTAAACTGCCAGCAACTTTTAAAAATAACATTTTTTTCTTCCCTTTTTGCTAGTCAAAACTCATTCATTTACATTACACTGTAATAAGAGTGCCTACCCTTTTCACAGAGTGAAAAAACAGATGTCATTCTAAAATTTATGACTGTTTTTCTAAAAAAAAAATTTCTTTTTATTTTGATATTGTGATAAAGTAACACAGTCAATTAAATAAAAATTTTCAACATTTAACTTTTTTAATATATTCACTGCTATCACTATTTTTATTTCTATCGACATGTTAATTGCAATATAACTAGATCTATCAGTGAAATATAACTGGATCTGTCCATCTATGGACTTTTTGTTAATAATAGAAACTTACATTAAAAAATAGAATGTGAAAGCTACATTTGTAACAATACCTTAATAACATGTTTGTATACAAAGTTAATTTATTTAATCAATGATACATCTGTCATTTTAATATTCATTATATAAGTTCTTATGGGGAATTTTACTTATAATTTGACCACGAATGACAAGCCCACTCTCCTAGTTTAATATTTATCCAGCTAAACTGTTAAATGTTTGCAAAATAGGAGGTACTGTATTGTTTCTGGTTTTTTTTTTTTTTAGAAAGTGGGTGTTGCTCTGTTTCTCCATCTGGAGTACAGTGGCAGAGTCATAGCTTGCTGCAGCCTGGAACTCCTGGACTCAAGTGATTCTCCTGCATTAGGCTCCCACGTAGCTGGGACTACAGATGTGTGCAACCATGCTAATTTTTGAAAACAAATTTAGGGATGGGAGCCTCCCTGTGTTGCCCAGGATGGTCTTGAACTCCTGGCCTCAAGCAATCCTCCCACCACATCCTCCCGAGTAGTTGGGATTACAGGCATGAGTCACCACACCCAGCTAAAAATAGAAGGTACTGCTAATGAAGATTCTGATAGCTGCATCATCCCATTACTTTTTTTTTCTAGAACTGCTGATTTTTGACAAAGTATTTCTTTTTTGGTCTAACATTCACATAAACTTTATATTCTGGCATCATCGTATGCCAGACATATCTGAATGAAGATAAAAAAGGATTATTCATAAAATTATCAGAGACTATTAATTAATCCTGTTTTTAATGAACACTAAGGCAAAACAAAACAAAACAAGACCAGCAAATGCTCAGAAGGCTGCCTCAGTAGAGAAGTGCTAATTGAAGAATCACACCAGTAATGGCAAATTTTAAGCATCAAAACTGAAAGAAACCAAAAGTGATAGAATTCCTGAGGAAAATGATTGTCGTTGAAGACGAGAAAGATTTAATACATCAGGAGCAAGTCAAACAAATAGGAAGGATCAATAAATAGAAATAACTCATGAGAAAACACATTTTCACTCAGTTGCTACATAAAATTTTCCACATGATAAAAGTGTTTGATTGGAAGTATTCCAGTAAAGCTTACTCTTCACTCAAAGTGTCCGGAATTTATATTGACATTAGCCCTGAGTATACTTTCATCGATTTAACAAATCTATCGCTGTTTAGGTATAGCATCTACACTTTTAAAGTACAACAAAAAGACAATTTGTTTTACCTGTAAAGGATTCATTCTTCATCTGTTGTTGTAAAGAATATTAGATCTTCTAATTACTAAATAAAATTAAAAGGGAAAGTTGCATATAGGTAATGTGACAAAGTTTCATGATTTCTTTTAATCTTTTGATATTCTTTATAAGAGAAAAGGCAGAAAGCATCTTTTAAATCTTAGAAAATCATGCATGAGAAATAAACAGATCTGGATCAATAATTGACCATACATTTTAATTTGTGAAAAACAATGACTATATTTATTCAAATCTTATCGCACCCCATTAAGTATAAAATATTAACATAGAAGAAGTTGATTGTTAAAGTGTAACATGTAAAAACTTCATTTTTTCCAATAAATGAAGGTGGCTAATTAACATTCTACCAAGCTGGTTTCACTGTTCTTCATTAGCTGGCTTTCAATTATCCATGTCAAATATATCTTTTCGCTAAAGGTCTCTGTCAGCAGAGGAACCCACTTAAAATAATTTGTATTCTGTTGGTGTTGGAACAAAGTGTGTAAAACAGAGATGTAACTAGAGACACATCAGCAAGATTGGAACTCCTCAAAGTTACTGTACCCAGTGTGCCTTGTTCTATGTGTTTCAGATTTCAGCTGAAGTCATTCAGGTAGATTTCAAATTAAATATAATCACAGATTGCAAAATGTTATTCCAGGTATTTTCTATAAAATTTTGTCTTGGTCACTTTACACTTTTCTTTAATAAACAATATTTTTATAGTAGCTTTAGCTTCACAGCAAAATTGAGCAAGAGGTATAGAGAGTCCCTATATTCCCCTTTCCCCGTTACCAGCAGCCCCCACCAGAGTGGTACATTTGTTACAGTTGATAAACTTCCATTGATACAACATTATTATCCAAAGTTTACATTTTTAATAAAGTTCATAGTTGAAATTAGTTTTCATTTTTTGTTCTTGTACATTCTATGCTTTTGAACAAATGTATAATGACAGATACCACCATTATAGCATCATACATAATAATTTCATTGCCCTAAAAATCCTCTGTACTCTGCCTATTTATTCCTCCCTCACCTTACCCTCTGCTTTTTTTAAAAAAAAAATGTCTCCAGAGTTTGCCTTTTCCATCATGTCATACAGTTGGAATCATATAGTATGTAGCCTTTTCAGGTTGGCTTTTTCCATTTAGTAATATGCAATTACATTTCACCTGTGTCTTTTAATGGTTTGGTAGCTTATTTTTTTTAGGTGCTGAATAATACTTCATTGTCTGGATATACTACAGTTAATTCATTCACCTAATGAATGACATATTGGTTACTTCCAAGTTTTGCCTATTATAAATAAAGCTGCTAAAAACATCCATGTGTTGGGTTTTTAGTGGACCTAAGTTTTCAGCTTATTTGGGTAAATACCAAGGAGGTTGATAGCTGAATCATATGGCAGGGGTATATGTAGTTTTATAGTACTTATTATAGAACATATCTGAGTTAATAGTGTTTCCATCCTAAAAATATTTGCTTTTGGCTTTCCAGACTTAAACCTCAGAACTTTTATCAATGTGGTATCATTTTTAATGCTGTTTTCTCACAATGAGTTTACCCAGACCATGCAGGCAATGCCCAGGAAAAACCTAAATCGTTGTAATAACCAGCTTGTGGTTATAAATATTCACATATAATTTCTTCAGATAGCGTCTAGCTTAAAACAATCAATTTTAGAAATTGAGTGGATATTTTTATTAATTGAGTCTGTAAGGTACTTCTACTTAGATTTAGCTCTAATCCACTGCCTTGTGAGAGTGCAAGTTTTATTTTCAAGCTTTCATGGGCAATATACCAAGTTTCTCAGTTACAGACATCTGGAATAACAACATGATTTTATAACTCGGTTTTCAACTACCACTGCCCCATCCCAACCTACTTAAAGTTTTCTTTATTCCTTTGTGAGCTCAACTCTTCATTGCATGGATGTTTATTATATTTCATCCAAAACTTTTAAAGCATTTGTAGCAGGCAAATTTTAAAAATGTGTAGATCACTACCTTTCTGATCCCAGAAGACCAGAGTTGTAAGTTGTGCTATAATTTCTGTGTACAAATTATGTATGGCATACCTATGTGAAAAAATGGACAATTTTTATAACCAAATTATGCACAGAAAATATATTAATAAAAATCTCCACTAAATGATTCATAAATCCTCTTTCAGGATGTAGGTTCTAGTTACTAATTCTATTATTAGAATTAGTTATTACCCATTATTATCTTGCAATCTCTGTTCAATCAGACAGTTTGTTTCAAGAAAAAGACAAACAAGCAAGTAAAAATATCTTATTTTGGCTAGACCTATAATAATTATTCCTTAAGAATGTCCCCAGGGATTTCACCTCCTTTTCTAAAATGTTCTTTGAAATAATCATTAAACACAATTTAAAAATATTTTAATTATCAACAAAATTGGTAAATTCTTCATAGCATTGTGGAAACTTTTGTTTTCATCTTCTTTTCAACTTTACTGGAAATGTATTAATCATTTTGTTACTGAAATTGTGAGAAGCCCTAAAAATATATGATTGCTATAAAAACCATCATAATGATTTCCAATATTATCTTCATGTTGTGTTTTTAATTAAAATTTTTATTTTGAGAAAATTATAGATGCACATGCAGTTGAAAGAAATACACATAGATCTTGCATACTTTTTAACCAATTTCCCTCCACCTTGAAAACATATATTAAAATGTCTCTACTAGGATACTGATATGGTACAAGGAACGTACAGAATAGTTACATTATCACAAAGATCTATTGTGTCATTCTCCTTATTGGTCTTATTTCCAAATACAGAGAAAAAACATTCAATATTTCCACAATTAAGTGTAGTATATTTTGATAAGTATTCTTTATCAAATTGAGAAACTTTTTTTTGCTTAGATTGCCAGAAGTTTTTATCATGAATAGGTGTTGGATTTTGTCAATGGTTTTGTGTGCATCCATTGATGTGACCAATTGATTTTTCTTCTTTAGCCTGTAAATATGGTGGATTATACAGATTTATTTTTGAATATTGAAGCAGTCTTACACACTTGGAATAAATCCCAGCTGGACATAGTGTATAATTGACAACGGTCTATAATGGTGTATAATTCTATATATATGTGTGTGTGCATAGGGATGTATGTTTGTATATTTACATACATACATGATTTGCTAATATTTCCTTGAAGCTCTACATCCAAGTTCATGAGAAATATTGGCAATGACTCATACTACTTTATTGCACAAATATGTGGTAAAGGTCAGAACTTTTCTGGGCCTCGTTGACACTTCCCTGGTGAAAGTAGAAGGCTGCCATGCATCTCTCATTGTCTCCATGTGGGAATATTATATCAGCTCCCATTAGGCCCCCTGCAATCAGAAAGAAGGAAGCAAAGGGCTAATGCATACTACTACATTATAGTTGCAAGGTGTTGGTAAAGGTTCAGATCTTTATGGAGCCTCTCTGACACCAGAAGAGTGGAGAAGAGGAATGGAAGTGTTTAATGTTTTCCTGACATGAACTCCCACAAAGCTCCACGAAGATAGCAGCAAACTGCGTAGCTCGCTACTGAAACCCCAGGTCTTAACACGATGACTTTTTTTTTTTTTTTTTAATGAATAGGGACATTTGTAATTTTATTGAGATTTACAGATGTATATCACCATCTATATGTGGAAAAAAATGGTTCTCCGAGATTTATATATTAAATGTTTTGGCACAAGTTTTGAGAGACCGAAAGTAGCATATTTTTTCGCAGATTAATCCTTTAAAAGACCAGCTCTTACTAGAATTGTTTAACAATCTGATTTCAGGCTGTTAATTGTAACTTACTATGTTTACCAACTGGCTATTTCAATATGTTCACATAAAGAAACATTAATATTTAGCAATTTTCATTATTTAATGTCAAGCTTAAATTGGATCCCTATTTGACAATATTGATGTTTTGGATTTTTCTTTGTTGGAGGGACACAGGAAGTCTTATTCACTAATATTTTTGTCCTTGATTTTTTCTTTTTCAAAAACATGACGGGGAAAATTGCTAAGCTCAAATAAGAGAAATCAGGTTTAGTTCTAAAGTGCTAGTGTAGAGTATTCCTATGATTTTATTACTTATAATAAAAGAATCTGGAATAAGTCCAGTAAGTAAGAGGATTAACTATGGAAATACACTATAAGAAAAAAAATGCTTAGGCAGTTATATTTAAATAGATTCTCAAGAATGGCATAAGAATTTCTTCAACACAAAGAACTTCCTTTATTCTATGTCTCACTAGAACTTGCCAAATCTTAGGTTACAAAATGTTGAATATGTCTGTGTCTACAGATTTTCATATTATTGAAATAGATTTTATCTTTTTTGTTAACTATTGTATTTTTTACATGTGATGACTTGTAAATTTGGACGCTACTTTGTTAATAAAAATATCAGAAAATTTTCAAAATAAGAAAATGGAAGATTTTGATTTTCCAATAATATGTTTATAACAACATGCTAACTCTATGAATACATACTAATTGCAAGGAAAATAAAATAAGCCAAAATAGCAACTGTAATTTTGCATTTTAGCCAACAGAATATACTATTGAAAATACACACAGACAAAAGCACATATACACACTTCGAAATAAAAGGAACCACAGAATTTTAACATGTATCATGAGTTTGATATTACATATGTTTTAGAATAATTGACCATAAGTATAATAATGTAGAGAGTAATTTTTTTGGTGCAAGCTACATGATTTACAAAAGCACTTATACTTTACTGGAAAGAACAATGACAACTAAGGAAACAGCTGAAGTTATAGTGTTTTAACTTCGGATAGGATGTTGAAAACTGAAGTCGTTCATAATTTTCATTCTATTTATTAGAATAAGTTTTAGGAATAAATTGTTCCTTTCTTGGTGTTAAGTACCTAACAGGTGGAGGAAAACTCATTTTTAACCACTTTGCCCGTTGTAAAAACAACAGAATACAAGTTTCCCACTGAGAAATGATAGTTTTTCAGGAATTTTGAATGCAATTTATATTGAATATTTTATAAGAAAATTAAGGAGGAGCTGATTCAATTATCCACACAGAAATATAAATGATACAGGAAAATGGGTTTCTTTTTGTTTAACTAGTGGTATACTTTACATGCAAATGTTTCTTTATCTAAACAATTTTTCACTTGTTTTTATAAAATTTACTGTATTTATATCTATGTATCAATACAATGTATCTGTTAATCATTTAACTATCCTACGATCAGTTAAAAAGTATAGAAATGCTGACTTTAGAAATACTTTAGGAATATGTATTCTTCAGACTGTCTTATTAAAATCTAGTCATAAAGATTTTTGAGCATACTAAGCACATATCAAAAATACTATTAGACCTTTACAAACCTGTGAAAGCAAAATGAAATAAATTTGGCAATGAAGAGTCATACAAATATATTGATTTCTAAATGATAATAAGACCAGCATTTTCTTTTCTGTTTGATTGTTTTTTTTAAGACTACATTTTCTATGATTTGATGAAACAGTTTTATATTTTCATTTACAATTATTATGATGATTACTATTCACATGAGTAGGCAAAAAAGAATCATAGAAGGAACTCTCAAGAGTATTTTGATGTGGATATTAGTACTTTCTACTCAGGTTTTGAGGGTTTTAATAGTATCAGAAAGCGGTGCTAAGGTATAAACTTATGCACTAAAATACTTTTTTTTTTTTGCAAATAAAATGTTATTTCAGTATCTCTAATGTTCTGGTTTCTCAACAGGCTCATTCCCCGAAGGCTCATTTCTTGCCAAGACCAGGGAGTTTCTGCCCATATGGTCCCATGAAGCCTTGGTTTATAGTCCCCTGATTTCACTACAGTTAGAGAAAAAAATCTTCCAGGCTTCTGATTTCCTTGCAGATAAAAATAGCATACGCCTTCGGTTACCAAAATAATGACAAAATAAAAACTCCCCAAATATTCTGAGTTTGTTGTATTGGCTTCAAAAACTTCCGAAGCAAGCATTGTTTGTTAAACAATGGAAAAGCCTGTGCCTTATTTAATGCTTTATAGGGTTTGATAAATTTTCAAAACTAAATTAAAATATGTTGGCTAATTATCCCTTGCCAATACTGTCTAGCAAGTAAGGTATACCAGGAAAATTTGACAGGCTTTTACATATATACCATGGAATAAAACTATATTAGTATTTTGAAGAAAGACACATTAGCAAATTCAAGATTTTCCAGTAAGTTTTTTTTATTTTTGCATATCATCAGTCACATTTCACTTTAACTAATACTATTCATATATGGTATCTATAGTCTGATACATATTTTATACTCCCTAAAAGCCTCTAGGTAGTTTTTAAGCACCTATTTATTTAATTATGTGCTATTCAACCTCACAGTTGATCTTCTTTGATTGTAGAAAGTTGCCTTATTCAGAATGTGCTTTCTGGTTTACATACTGAGTAGCTTATGGTGAAGCTCTGTCAATAATATATTTTATATATATATATATATCTACAAAATTCTAACAAGATGTTTCAATTTATGTCACATTTTAAGTTTTAGCACTAACTCTACAATTAAGTTTTAGCACTAACCGTACAATTTAAGTTGACATAACAACACAGAATTAATATATTTTGAATTTTAAAAAATGTTCTTTGACATATCATGAAGAAACATCCAGACAGATTGTAGTTTGGTAGATAGACAAACAGATAGCTAGCTAGCTAGATATCTAGATAGACAGACAGCTAGCTAGCTAGATAGATAGCTAGATAGACAGGAATGAAATATTTCAAATTGTCTTAAAAATCAGGCATGTATATATATGCTGTGTTATATAAGAAACAGACTATCTAAGTTTGGGTGAAATTCTGTACCTCTTAAAATATGTTTTGATATGTTCTATAAATAATATAATTCAAAAACTAAAAGTTATAGTCTATTTCAATAAAAAATAAATGGTGCTTTAGTAAGTGAAAGTAAGGCCAGGCATGGTGGCTCACGCCTGTAATCCCAACACTTTGGAAGGTATAGGTGGGCAGATCACCTGAGGTCAGGAGTTTGAGACGAGCCTTGCCAACATGGCAAAACCCCGTGTCTACTAAAAATACAAAATTAGCCAGGCATGGTGGCACGCTCCTGTAGTCCCAGCTACCCAGGAGGCTGAGGCAGAAGAATCACTGGAACCCAGGAGGCAGAGGTTGCAGTGAGCCGAGATCGTGCCACTGTAGTCTAGTCTGGGTGACAGAGCAAGACTCCATCTCAAAAAAAAAAAAAAAAAAAAAGTGAAACTAAATTTTGAATCTCAATTTAATAATATTTTGGTGCATATAAAATCACAATTTTTAAAGAAGTAAAGCAATTAAAATAGCACATTTTTATGCCTGAAATAGTAATTTTCTTTTTAAATATCTACCTGGCATAACAGATTATAAGTCTTTTGTTCATTCAATACTTATTTCAACAAATTATTATGGATGGAGTCTCTTATTTTATGTAATGTTTTGAAGTCTGGTGATAAAGCAGTGACTGAAACAACCTGCTTAAGCTCTGGAGTCTATGTTCTAGAGCATTCAGATATATCAATGATTCTTTGACATATTTATTTATTCATGTACGCCAAAAGAGTATGTGTAATTTTCAGATAGTGATTTAATCTTGTTGCCAAATGAAGTAAATGTCATGATATATTTGTTCTTCATTTATACTCACTATAATGCTTTGTTTTATATAGTCATCTCTTGTATCATATAGTCATCTCTCATATTAGAGACATCAACTCATTCACTGAGTTTAGTGAAGTATTTCATCATGACAACACTGGAGCACTTATTTGATGTTCTGATTGTTGCCAAAGTGTCACAACTGTAGGACTTACCTTTATAATGCACATTTTTAAGCACTGGCACCACCATCATCATCTTTTGACTATCACTGTGACTCCCAGACAGTCACACTGCTCTAGCCATATTTCTATCCTATAGTTTGTTCTCAATACAAAATCCAGAGATCCTTTTAAATTGCAAATAATAGCATGCTGCTCCTGTGTTCAAATTTCTGTACAGGCACACCATTTCATTCAGAGTTACAAGCCAAAATCTTTAGAAATGCCTACAAGGACCCAAATGATATGTAAGGTTACATTGTAACCCATCACATCCCACTATCTTATCTCTGATATCCTCTACTATTTGTTCTCTTAGTACTGGGGGAACCCATCCCCAATATTTCAACGTAGGTTCTTTCTATTTTCCATAAGTGTTGGTTGGCTGAGAAATAAAGAGAGACAGTACAAAGAGAGGAATTTTACAGCTGGGCCGCCAGGGGTGACATCACATATCAGTAGAACCGTGATGCTCACCTGAGTCTCAGACCAGCAAGTTTTTATTAAGGGTTTCAAAAGGGGAGGGGGCGTAAGAACAGGGAGTAGGTACAAAGATCACATGCTTCAAAGGGTAAAAAGCAGAACCAGTAATAAGGGTCCAACAAAGATCACATGCTTCTGAGGGAATAGGACAAAGGGCAAAAGCAGAACCACTGATAAGGGTCCAACAAAGATCACAAGGCAAAGGGCAAAAGCAGAACCACTGATAAGGGTCCAACAAAGATCACAGGGCAAAGGGCAAAAGGCAAAAGCAGAACCACTGATAAGGGTCTATGTTCAGTGGTGGTGCATGTATTGTCTTGATAAACATCTTAAACAACAGAAAACAGGGTTCCAGAGCAGAGAACTGGTCTGACCACAGATCTACCAGGGTGGAATTTTTCCCCACCTTAGCAAGCCTGAGGGTTCTTCAGGAGACCAGGACGTATCTCAGACCTTATCTCAACTTCATAAGACAGACATTCCCTGGCTGGGTGTGGTGGCTCATGCCTGTAATCCCAGCACTTTGGGAGGCAGAGGCAGGAGGATCATGAGGTCAGGAGATTGAGACCATCCTGGCTAACACAGTGAAACCCCGTCTCTACTAAAAATACAAAAAAATTAGCCAGGCATGGTGGCGGGCGCCTGTAGTCCCAGTTACTTGGGAGGCTGAGGCAGGAGAATGGCCTGAACCCGGGAATTGGAGCTTGCAGAGAGCTGAGATTGTACCACTGCACTCCAGCCTGGGCGACAGAGCAAGACTCCGTCTCAAAAAAAAAAAAAGACAGACAGTCCCAGAATGGCCGTTTATAGACCTCCCCCCAGGAATGCATTCCTTTCCCAGGGTATTAATATTAATATTTGTTGCTAGGAAAAGAATTTAGTGATATCTTTCCTACTTGCACATCCATTTATAGGCTCTCTGAAAGAAGAAAAATATGGCTCTTTCTCCCCAACCCTGCAGGCAGTCAGAACTTATGGTTGTCTTCCCTTGTTCCATAAAAATCGCAGTTATTCTGTTTTTTTCAAGGTGCACTGATTTCATATTGTTCAAACACACATGTTTTACAATCAATTTGTACAGTTAACACAATGATCACAGTGGTCCTGTGGTGACGTACATCCTCAGTTTATGAAGATAACAGGATTAAGACATTAAAGACAGGCATAAGAAATTATAAAAGTATTATTTGGGAACTAATAAATGTCCACATTAATATTAAATCTTCACAATTTATGTTCCTCTGCCATGGCTCCAGCCGCTCCCTCCATTCAGGGTCCATGACTTCCCACAACATCTTAGCCCACCAAATTGGCCACCTTGTTGTTCCTTGAATGACTCCATATTATCTCCTGAGTATTTTTATTCTTTCCATTCCCAGTGCCTGGAATATTTTCCCCAGATACAATTGACTGAGTTGTCATTTCCAAGACTATTCTAAAACCCTCCATTGTCTCAAAAGGCCTACCTTGTCCATTCTACTAAATACTGTAATATCCATCTCCAAATCACACACCTAAATTCTTCTTATTCTTCTTTAATTTTTCTTTTTCCACTTAACTATTGAAAATAATGTACTTATATATTATGTTTATTGTTTATTCTCTTTCTGCTCCACAAGAATATAAGCTTCATGGTGTCTGTTTTATTTACTGACATCTGTATATTCACATGCCTGGGACAGCATCCAGTTCATATTAGATAATACATGAACTGGATGGTGTCCCAGGCATGTGAATATACAGATGTCAGTATAAATTTGTTAAATGAATGAAAGTTATGCTTTCCAGTCTTGTTGATTCTTCACATTTTGTAAATATATATGATTAGTCCTATGAAGATTCCCATTCTTCAAATTCTTATGCCTCTGTTAGTTTATCAAGAATTTCATTTTGAGATTTTATTATTGATTTCCTATCATTTCCTATTAATATATCACCTTAATTTCCTATTGTTATATTTTCCTTGTCTTTCCAATTTTTAAAGTTGCAGTATATAATTCAGCTATTCTATATTTTTATTTTAATAAGCAATTAAGTAAAATGGACAGAATATACAAAATATTTAATTAAATAAAGTAATTCCTAGAAAAGGATACCAATGCTTTAAAAATGTATTCAAGAGCAAATTGAATGACAAACTGAATAACAACTATTTATTATTACATATTGCAGAAAATTATACTTATTTTTAAAGAAGATGTAGACACACTTTAAAAATTCTTCAACTTCCAGCTGTGGTATAGTTTTCAAAGGACATACGATATGCTTGTAAGTTCATCCATTGGAAGGTCAGGTCAAATGCTCTTCATCTCAAATTTTGTGCAAAACAGAATGTTAGGCTAGGCATGGTGGCTTGCACCTGTAACCCCAGCACTTTAGGAGGCCAAGGTGAGAGGATTGCACGAGCCCAGAAGCTCGAGACCAGCCTGGGCAACATGGTGAGAGACACATCTCTACAAAAAATAAAAAATTAGCCAGGCATGGTGGCACATGCCTATAGTTCCAGCTCCTTGGAAGGCTGAGGTAGGAGGATTGCTTAAGCTTCGGAGGTCAAGGCTGCAGTGAGCCATAACAGTGCCATTGAACTCCAGCCTGGAACACACAGCTAGACCCTGTCTCAAAACAAACCAGCAGAAACCAAAAATAGACTTTTAGATAAATAGACAAAACAGAAAGATAGATAGGTAGGAAGGTAGATTGAAAGGCAAGTGGGTGTGTAGATAGATACATAAAAGATAAAAGGATAAATAATTAGTATATGGAAATATGCCTCTATAATCTTGTGTGGCTTTTCTGCATATGCCTCAGTAAAGATGTTTTTACTTCAATTTACATTGATTTTACTACACATATTTAAAATCAATTATGGAAATAGCCTTTGGTTTAAATCAATGCAGTTATTAACTCAGCCATGCTTTGATCTTAGTGACTTTAACCTGAGTTGCATTGTTGTTGTTTCACAAGGAACTAATCTGTTAATTCCATCCAGTCTATTTTTCATCAAAGTCATAACAATAAAATGGATCTCCTTACTAATATGCTTCTCCAAATTGACATGCACCTATCTCTCAGGACATTCTTAATTCTTCTTAATAAACGATCATCCTTGGAATAAAGCTGCTTTATTTTAGCCACTAATATGAGTTCTAAAATGTTGACATAGTTTACCTCTAACTATATTGACAGAGTTCACCTCTTGCCACTCTTTTCACTCCCCTGTCTCCCTCCACTAAGTAAATATTTTCCGTGTTAAGCCTTAACATATTCTTAGATATGTGTGTGTGTGTGTGTGTGTGTGTGTGTGTGTAATTGTACTTTTAAAAAAAATCAGGAAAAAATAGGCATGTTCCTGGATTTTTTTCTACTCAATATTGCTATAGGAGTTATTAAGAAATTATTTTAGGCAGATAGAGAGGAAAAGCGGTCCTTGGGAAGTTTTTTTTTCTTTTAAAGCAGCTCCAGAAGCATTTCTTTTCTAGCAGAAAAGCCAGGCCGGCAAGCCTTGATATGCAAATGTCGGCCATTAGAAAGTGGGTCCACTCAAATATGGCAATTCCCTGGTCTTCTTCTTGTCCCCACATGTGCCTAACAGCATGGCTGCCCCCACATATCCCCATGTGTATAGAACATCATGGCACCCTGCACTTCTACATATTAAAAGGCTACGGTGGGAGGGTCAGTTTTGTTGAGGGCTACTTGAGTGACAAACCTGGTCAAACCACTTCCCTGGGCCCTATGCAAATCAAACACCACCTCCTCCAGCCTCACAATATAACTGGCTGTTCTCAGCTGCACTCAGGGTTCCCTCTTTTGGCTTGGAGTCCCCCTCCCTCTGTCTCTGTATGGGGATCCTCTTCCTTCTTTCTTGCCTATTAAACTCTCCTCCCAAAACCACTCCACGTGTGTCTGTGTCGTTTTATTTAAACAGGCGCGAGACAAAGAACCTTGGTGTTCCTCCAGTCATTGGAGCCAAATCAACATTATACTACCAATATAATTTATAAAGGGCATTTAGTTATAGTTTCTTCGTAATAATGTTCCATTATATGAGGTTACCAAAGCTTATATACATTCCGTTTTGTACAGAAATAAATTTGGCATTTGTATATCATTTGATTTAGCACTAGATTTCCAGTATTATGAAGATTAGCAAACATATCTCCCGGGAAACATGTCTAAGAGTTCCATTAAGTTTATATATAAGAGTATGATGAGTCTTATGCAGTAGAAATGATAACTGTATACAATGCCATCAAAATATGTAATGAAATTTTTATGATGGTAAATTCCAAAAGGCGCGAAACTATAAGTAAATTAATAATAGCAGACGATGTAAAGAAGAAAAAGAAATTTTTAGAAGAGTGCCTGAGTGTGAAGTCAGCACATAATTTGTTTCAGGCAAATACCGCCAATACTGTCTAAAAGATATTTTATTCCTTAAATTTTTTTCCTCCTTTAATAAGGCTGAAGATTGAATCTTGTGCTACCATCTCATCATTGTGACACAGATCTAGAAGAGGTGTCATTAGTTTTAAGATATATTAAATATACATATGTGTGTGTCTATATACATACACACATTTAAATGAGTTAATCCGTGATAAATAATGCCAGTCTTATCCTAGTAAAATAAAAATTATAATTTGTGGTTTAAAACAATTTAAAGCTGGAAGTTGCCATTTTTACTTTTCAAAATGCAATAGTAATACAAGCAAAGTTTAAAAATATTTTTAAAATATAATACTTTAAAATATGTTAGAAAAGTTCTGCATCTATAACATATTTAAATATAAAGATTTTAGGATAATTTTATTAAGTTCCATTTCTATTGTTTAACTAAAAACAACATTTCAATTTGAAATCGGGATAATCTAATTACTTATCAAAAAGAAGTATGTTACATAATTGAAAGAGGCAATTGTGCTTTAAAATCAAACAGATCACTTACTTAACATGCACTTAAAAATCCTCAATTAAAAAAATCTACTTCATGAGTCTTCTTTACATTTTGAGGCTCTGATAAGTTGTTAGGCTCAAGTGAGGTAATGTATGCAATCATAGTTGAGTGTGTGTTAAATAATAATTTGTAGCTCTTATTTTTGTAACATTCTATTGAGTATTAAAAGCATGATACATTTTATTAAATTATTATAAATTAATGAAATTACAACAAGTTTAGAACATTCTTATTATAACATCTTTGTTGGCCAAATTCCAGCTGCAATACCCTTTTAATTCATGTGGATAACAAACATTGGATATGGATTACATAGCAGGTAGTATTTTAAGAAATATTTACCAAGAGATATTTCCCATCATGGAAACTTATATAAATCATAAATAAAACAAAACAAAAATAAACAGAAACATAAAGTACTACATCAAATTAAAGAATTCAAGGATAAACTCTGACCTACAAATAAAAATATACTAAGAATTGGCATTTACATCATAGTATAGAAAAAATGGGTTTGTGGTTCTGAAGTTATAAAAGTAACATTTGATGACAGTGTATTATTGTATTTTAAATTTGCATGCTTTAAAATTTTAAATTTGAATTTACTGAATCACCCAGGAGACAATCTTGATGTTAAAATTTTTAACAGAAGATATTTAATTTGACAATATATATCTGTCATGGGGCCAAATACCAAAACGAAAGCTCTGAGCTACACCAGAGGTAATTCCAGAAAGTAGTTATTACCCATAAGCCTGGGGGATACAAGGGGAAAAGGTTGAGTTTATCAGAGGGTAGAGAAAAGGGCAAACACCTGCAGAGCTGGGGCTCAGGCTGCTGCTAGTCCTTTGAGGGAAGGCATAAAGGCAAGTTCTAGGAAATAAATAAATAAATAAATAAATAGAGCCTGAGACTGGAACCAACAAATGGCCGAGGAGATCTGCTGTGGGAAAAGCAGCCAGCAAATAGAAACAAGAGAGTCTCTTATCTCCTTGCGTTTTTCAACACTCTCTAGATCCCTTGTGTTAGCAGAATAGAGCAAGTTATCACTTAAAGTAGCAGGTAGAAATGTAAAGAATCTCAGCCTCTGCATCACAAACTAGGGCATGGAAGAATGGAATTGTGGTTTACAGGCAATAGCTTTATAACCTAATTTCTGATTCCATATAGGTTTCTATTATATTATATTCTTATGGTGTATTTCCATCACATTTTTTTAAAATATTATTTTTTAAGGTCTAGTCCTGTAAGTATGTGAATGTTTTACTCTTTCCTCAAGTTTCTTTCTCCTTCTTCATCCCCTGCCAATTTCTTCTTTTCTCTGCCCAATTAATGACTTTAACTTGTTTCCAGGCAGACTAAATTCCAGACCTCGCCACACTCTTTCTCACATTGGAGTACATGTATATCCTGCTCACTCTGGGTAGCTTCTCTTCTCCCTTCTTCATCTGATTAATCCCCACATATCCTTCAGAACTTAGCCAAAATAGCACCATCTTTGGCTCTGAGTAACAGGTACTCTTCTTATTGAACACAATGACACAGTCTGCTACCTCTATTGTAGAATGTAACAAACAGCACTGTAATGGACACATTTCTTAGCTATTTCTTTCAATAAGCCATATGTCGCTTGAGCGACATGACCTCCTGATTCTGAAAAATGGAGTCTATTATATATATAAAGAATATATATAATAGATTGTGTACATAATAGAATGCATATATATATATAATCAAAAAGCCATATGCAAACCATAAGGGCTAATATAATTTGTGTGTTTGAGCACTAAATTTGTTCTTAAGTTTTCTAGAAGTCAGAAAAAAAAAGACAGCAAGCTAAATAAAGTTGGAATTTATGTTAACTGTGGAAGAAGGGTAACAATGAATAGAAAAATTAGAGAAATATGTTAAATATCAGTGAGCATACGCAAAGTTATCCGGGCGCAAAAGAGTGCAGAAGCAAAAATATAGTATAACTAAAATATATGAACATTGCCTTTTTAAATTCCTGTCTCATCTAATATAACTATTAATTGAAAGCCATAAGAATAGCAAAATTAAGAGGAAATTAACTAAACAAGCTTATAAGAGGAAATTATGAGTCAGTATGAAAGTATACTGCTTATGATATCTGATCAAATGGCAGTTAGATTCGCACTTGGTTAAAACAAAAATAGTGAAGGGATAAAAGAATGAAAGAATAAAAGAACAAAGAACTTGAGAAAGAAAAACATGAGTACAAAATAACTAAAAAAATAAAAAATAATAAAATATCCAAAGAAAGAAAAAGAGGATGATGTGGGATATTTCTGATGGAACATAACTTGTGGTACACTAAAGACATACTAAAGTCCTTTTAAATGGGATCCAGAGAAGTTCTGGAACTCTAAACAAACTCTAAACAAATATGTTGTATTTAATTTTATTAAAATTCAACCTCAAAGTGTCTTTTTAGACAATGTTAACTTAGAGCAAAACAATTTTTTTAAACTATTCTACTCCCCATTTGCAAATGTCATATAAAATTTAAACTAATGTTCTTGTATTTTGATTTACTAGCCTCCTTCTTCATGCAAAATGATAGGCTTCATAATTGAGGAAATACATTATACCATTTTATTGACATGAGCCAGGTCATAAAAAGAGCTCAGTTTTTTCTGCACTAACAAAGAGAAAGACAAGCAAAATTTTGCATCTGATGAAGACTTTTAAAATCAACTGTGATACGCAGGTCCTATTCCTTGGAGATTAAATCAGGATTGTTAGAGATGAGAACATTCTGAGGAACCTTGACCCTCTTTTTCTCTCTCTCACCTCTAATCCCAAACTGGCTATTTCACTTTCAAATATCCTGAGGCTAATTATTTCCTGATTGATCTTTCTAAATGAGCTTTTCACGGCTTCATCTAATGGATATGTGCTCCTCCCTAAATCATTTGTCAAACTTGCTTTCATAAAGATATATCCCCCAGAGGTGACTTTAGCTTTCTGTTAAATAGGTCGGATAGAAACAGAATTGAGACCAAGTATTCGAAACTTCACAGAATTCAAATCCAATTCTATATGCATGTTACTATGGTATAGGTTTCTAGAATATAAATGAATATGAATATGGACTTCTGTAACAGCAATGCCAAATTATCCGGGAAGTTTGTCTTGACCACAAGTAGGTTTTTGAAAAGTATCTATTTTAAAATTGAGCACATTTACTTTGCAATGTCTATACTAGTCACTAAATTAATGCAATGACCTTCAATAACATAATGTACACTTGCTTTTTCTGAATTTCAAGTATTGAAATTCTATCACTCATGCTTCAAGGCTGACTTCATAGGAAAAGTTTATAAAATTCCATTTTATGTTGAAATCTATTAAACTTTTGACTACAGGTTTAATTCTACATCTTGTAAACATGGAAACTGTTTCTACATATTGTTTAACTATATATAGAACATTGACCCAGAACTGTGTAGCTTTCCAGACAAATACTACATGTGTTATGTGATGGGAATTCATTTCTCTTAAAAGCTAAATAAAGTGAAGTATGTGCTCCTAACTTCATAAAGTTAAGAATTAGGGCTGCCTTCATGAATATGTAGCCAGTGAAGTTCCTCAGAAACCCACATTCAAAAGACCTCATGCTTAAGATTGAATGTTCTCTATATACTGTCTTGAAACTCTTAATAATTTTATCTTTGATTTTCTGTTTTCAAGTGACTTCCAATGGGACAATGAAGCATGCAACAAGGCCTTGGTGATGTGGCCGATGCAGAGTTCTTCATTTCAACATCTCACGTTGCCTTCTTAGAATGTGTCCTTTTCAGCTTTCTTCTACCCTGATGTCCCAGTCTCTCCTATGCTTCTGCCATATGACCTCTGCCATCTTTCAGCAACTTGTTTTTGTGAGCAGAAAGGATGTCTGTGTTCTGCTCTTCCCATCTACCTTTTGCAGGGATGTTGGCACAGGCCTGGGTAGGGTTGGGAATGGCCATACAATCAAATTGGTCTTACATAAAAGTACAAGTCAGATACTCTATCATATCTCAAGGAGGAGGTGGCAGCCATCCCTGCCCTAGGCTGGCAGTGACAAAGTATGTTTGGTGAGCAACTTGAGAACTCTCATATCCCCTGAATCTAGATGTTGAGCATCTTGGGACATGGAGATTATAACACCTTAGAGGTCACCCTTCCATCATGGGTTGAGGTGGTGATTTGTTGAAAAAAAAGATTGCTTTCACTCCTTCCATTGGGACAGTATGCCACAGTCCAGCAGCTGGTCGGAGGGGAAACGTGTCAACTGCCAGGACAAGTGCATGCATGTGCACATGGTCAAGCTCTATGAAGGTCTACACTTGCTCAACAAATGTCTCTGTGACTGAAGGAGCATGGCATTAAATAGAAAATAAAACACACTAAGACAAATGCTGCAAATGGACACTGAATGTTCTATTGTTCACGATCAAACATAATAGAAAGATGAGTTCTATTAAAAGACATATGTTACAAGATACAAATATTTTTTTTAAGATGCTGTTGTTGTTAAATCCACACCGACATGAGGAAATTTCAAAGTAGGTATTCATAGCTGTCAGGGTTTGACCAGGAAAGCAAGACTAGTATGAGAGGTATGTGAAGTATTAAGTGATATGTGAATAGCATGAGTGATACGTGACTTCTTATGAAGTCAGCCTTGAAGCAGTGATGGTAGAATTTTAATATTTTAATTCCAGAAAAAGCAATTGTAAGGATTAGATTTTCTATAATTGTGATAAAGTCTTTGAAGGGCTATTGCACCCCACTATCTGTTAGTGAGCCTAAAGCCACTATAGGCCAGCAGGGCTGGCAGTTAGAAAGACGAGTTGAGGCCAGGCGCGATGGCTCACGCCTGTAATACCAACACTTTTGGAGGTCGCGGCGAGCGGATTGCCTGAGGTCTGGAGTTCAAGACCAGTCTGGCCAACATGATGAAAGCCTGTCTCTACTAAAAATACAAAAACATTACCTGGGTGTGGTGGTGTGCACCTGTAATCCCAGCTACTAGGGAGGCTGAGGCAGGGGAATTGCTTGAACCAGGGAGGTAGAGGTTGCAGTGAGCAGAGATCATGCGACTGCACTCCAGCCTTTGCAACAAAGTGAGACTCTATCTCAAAAAAAAAGAAAGAAAGACAGATGAGTTGAACAGGGAGCAATGGAGAATGGATAATTTAGGCCCCAAGGACAATCTGAAACCCACAAAAACAAACTGAAACTCTCATCTCTTCTCAGTGCATCTAAAATCAATGACATGATTGACCTGCAACAGAAGCTAGAATCCTTTGCAACAGGGCTACACAGACATTCCACCTAGATTTTGAAATATCTGAAAAACAACAGGAATTGTCTATTGTACTTTACCAATAAGGTGGACCAGTAGACATGTGACAATGTGTATGAGTCACAGTAACACCTGACATAACACACTTCATAGTGGAATGGCTGTAGTGTGTCTTCACTTCCAACTTTAAGAACTCATGCAAATTTCTCTTACGAACACTTTTCACATGCAATCACAAAAAGAAAGGAATTCTTGTCATTATAGTTATAGCTTACCTAAGACACAGTACAAAGTCACTACAGACTCCAGTGTTATTCTTCAACAAGAATATAAATGTCTGGAGATATGAGTAATTAAATAGATTTGATAAGGAAGATTTCTTTCAAAAGAATTATGCTCTGAATCATTTTCCTAATTCTCAAGAGGAAGATATGACTAGTATGATTTCCTAAACCCAAGATTAATGAAAGAGGCTTCAAATTGACGACTGATTGAGTTTGAAATACATTTGTGTATGTGCCCATGTGGTTGGGAAGGTATAGGAGTTAGGTCTGTGACTTATGTCTAAGAAAGCCAAAGTGACTAACATCAACAAAGTAGAAGCAGGTGTCAGGAAATAACTGCATGGCCTTGAGACAGTTGGTCAAATACATAAAAATCCTGGAGGCCAGGTGAACCATAATAGTATAAATGAAAAGAGATCTTGTCCTGAAACTGAGTCTTAGTTCAGAATTACTGACAAGAGGAATATAAAATGTGGATCCCTGTTCATGTGGCTTATTAGTGGAGTGTTTTAAATGAAAGAGGGGTTGTATTTGTTTTCTATCCTGTGTAACAAATTATCACAAAGTTAGCAGATTAAAACAACACCCACTTATTATCTAAGTTTCTGTAAATTGTAAGTCTGGGCATGGCTTAGTTGGGCTCCCGGCTCAAGGTCTCACACCACTGAAATCATTATAATATATTTTCGAATAGTCTCACAGATTTCTAAAATTTTATTTTCACAAAGCTTATTGCATAAGTAACTAAGTCATGGCTACTCAATTGAGGAGAACACAGCTAATCACAAGCAAAGAGCTTGACTAATTTAAAATTTCTGAGAGCTAACTTTGTAATCCAAGATATAAACTGATAATAATGTCACAACACATTACCCAATAATATGTTTTACAAGTAATATAAATAAGATATTTATTCTTTCAAGAAATACAGCTCAAAATTTGGAGTTAACTGACTTTAGTCTAGGAAGTTACTCATGGAGATAAAGTTGGTTTATTTTTTTCACATTTAAAAAGGTGAATATGATTAATACCTCTGACTATATTTTGGTCATGTAGTGAAATTAGAACATGTACCTAGCAGTTGATTCAGGGTGTCAATAATACAACTTTTACATCACCAATTTATGCCCTAAAGAACAAGAGAACACATGCAAACTCTTCTGAAGGATATTAATAATAAAAAGGCACAACAAAGTGTGTACATATTTAATTATATCTGTTGCCATGGAAGAGACTTCTGTGTATCAATTACATCTTCTCTATTATCACTTATTTCATAATATAAACTCTTATACAAATGTCTGTCTTTGCTTTTGCTATGATAGAGAAATATTACAAAATGATTCCAGCCTTGTAAATATTCAATACATAGTAATTTTAAAGAAAGATGTGTGTCAATATTTCATTAAAATATACATGAAAAGCAGTAAGAGTTTATAAATAGATATGTTTTTATATTTCACACTGAGGTAAACTTTTTTTATTTGTTATTATTTTTTGAGATGGAGTCTCGCTCTGTCGCCCACGCTGGAGTGCAGTGATGCCATCTCGGCTCACTGCAACCTCCGCCTCCCGGGTTCAAGCGATTCTCCTGCCTCAGCCTCCCGAGTAGCTGGGACTACAGGGGCGCTACCTCGCCCAGCTAATTTTTTTGTACTTTTAGTACAGACGGGGTTTGACCATGTTGGCCGGGATGGTCTCGATCTCTTGACCTCGTGATCCGCCCACCTCGGCCTCCCAAAGTGCTGGGATTACAGGCTTCAGCCACCGCGTCTGGCCAACATTTTTATGATTTAAATTATTATTATTATTACTTGAGACGGGTCTCGCTTTGTAGCCCAAGCTGGAGTGAAATGGTGCGATCTTACCTCACTGCAACCTCCACCTCCCTGGTCCCAGTTCAAACAATTCTCCTGCCTCACCTCCCGTGTACCTGGGATTACAGGAAAGAGCCACTATGCCCAGCTGATTTTTGTATTTTCAGTAGAGATGGAGTTTCACCATGTTGGCCAGCTGGTGTTGAACTCCTGACCTCACGATCTGCTTGCCTCGGCCTCCCGAAGTGCTGGGATTACAGGTGTGAGCCACCGTGTGTGGCCTAAATTTTATTTTTGAAACTGGTTGTCAAAATATTTTACAGCTTTTTTCTTGTTTCTATGCAATTATCTGTACTACCTCTGTCATACCCCCCAAAATATATATTTTTAAAATTTCTAATACTAATATTTGTAAATTTAGTTAACAAATGCTTTTTCTCATTTGTTCTTAGGCAGAAAATCTAGAATACAATAAATAAATAATCCATAGCTACAAAATATCATGATTTTGAAATCTAGCAAAGGAGATAAAAACCAAAATAATATAAGGAACATGGGCAAATTACCATGAACATTATATTGTATCCTATAAGATTCAGAAGGTAATAAACTCTTCCACATGGGGGTCTCAGTGAAGCCTTGAATTTAAAGATGCCCTTTGAATAAAACATAAAACAATGAATCGATTTTACTAAGGGGAGATTAGGCATTGCTGACAGTTGAGGTAGGATGAATAAAGCCATTGGAGAATTAAATAGGTTAACATTTGCTAGGGAATATCAAGAAGATGTTAGAGTTCAATTTCTTTGATCTTTAGAATAAATTTTAGGGAGTATGGAGGTACGACTCAAAAGGTAGTTGAACTCAGTTGTGGAAGTTTGGATTCAGCAAAAATTGGATTTATATATACATCTAAATTTGAGTATATAAAACAGATTGGGAGAAACACAAGAGACACAGGCAAAATGGAGATCAATTTTCAGACTATAGTAATACCTTCCTATTAATTATGTGTAGGGTAGGGGTAGGAGTAAATCACTCTAAAAGAGAAAAATGATTTCTTGTGGTAAAAATAATGATGATAAAGAAGTATATATGATAAGAGTGTTGGGTAATAATACATTGAAGTGCAAATGAAGATAGTGGAAAGAGTTTTTGCTCGCGTCAATGTTTCTTTATAATAAATGGTATAGTCCTTATCAATATATATGTTTGTATTTGCATGAGGCTTACATTTATATGTTTTTAGTTATCTCTATTGATATAGGCTCCTGTGAAGATATATTCAGTGCTAATCCTAAAAATTGCTTTTTGGTCACTTTCTGTGTAATTTGATATTTTTGAACTAAGTTTTTTTTTTGTAATTTCCTAGAATTAAAAGCAGATATCAAATATACTATATTCTTTCTCTTTTTTTCTTGTTTAAGCCTCCATATGTTGTATCAAGCTACCTTTGGCAATGGAAATGTAATAGAAAATGGGTGAAAAGAGTTTTATAACCTCCCAACCACTCTACCAATTGACCAGAGAAAATCTAATTTTAAATATTTATATAATGAGGTTCTCTAAATTTTCCTTTCAACACAAGGTTGTGTGACTTAAAAATAAAAATAAACTAGCACTAAAACTTTGAAGATGGCTGCTAAGAGTTTTTTTCAAGTAAAAATGGAAAACTTTCAAAAGTATTAGGTAACAATTTTTTAACAAAGTAACAATTACTTAGCAATATTAGGTAAATGTCATTCACATGAAAGAAAAATCTTCAAAAAATATAATGGTTCAAACCAAAAGAATAGCAAAATAATTGAAAATTACTATTAGTATTGGAAATGCCTGGAAGAATTATGTCAGACTATTCTTTCATCCTGACCTAAAAGTACCAGAGTAACTTTCTGTACAAGGTTAGTGCAAGGACCATTCGGTGCCTCCCTGCCCACCTAGATGATTACAGAATTGCCAGCAGAGGTTGCTATTTTTGTGTAACTCCTGGCCTGCCCCAGAAGGAGCTATTAAATAGTCCCCATAGCAGGTCATACAACCAAGCTGCTGCACTTCACTTCAAATAGGCCACTTGCTCATAATTATTCCAGGGCACATGGTGTTTATGCCACAGTGTAGAGTGGAATCAAAGTAGTTTTGTAAAGTGATTTCTACACTTGCTCCTAGTGGGGCTTAATTAAACACCAATGACTCTACAAAGGCTAAAGCATAATAAAAAATAGACTAGTGCTGTGCATGAAAGTGCTGAACAGACTGTTGTAGGCATATGTATAAACCACAAGGCTAAGATTTCCTTCTTAACCAGGCATAGTTCTCTCTACCAATCAAAACATATAAATAATTATCTCTTCTTTATATAATATCCTCAATCAAACGCTTGTTTGGCATTAAAATATTTTATACAAATATAATCACTGTGATTATGTTTCTTTTCTTTTCACAACCTGCCCATGAAAATTTCTGAACACTTTATCTTTGCAATTTCATTGATTTATAGTATGTATTTAAATCAAAAATGCCCTTAATAGGGCAAACTATAAACATCAACAAAACTAAAGAGAAAATATTTACTTTGGAAAACCTCAAGGGATACAAAATATCAATGTTGTTTAGCTAACAATAAATAAAAATTGAAGATATATAATTGAAGATTGCATTGACTATGAGATGTCACATTGAATAGGATTTCTGAACAAAGCAGTGTTTGGATTAAAAATAATAAACACATGTAGACATTGGAGACTCATGCCCTGAGGACTGGTGCTTTGATTTTTAAAATTTATTTTACTCAGAAGCAACACAAGCAGATGAACACTATTTCTTAAATTTTAACTGTTAAAACTAAATATTTTGGTTCCTGTAATTCTCCTGTCCCTCATAATTCATATAATATTTAATATTAAGTTTTTTTAATATACTATTTTCAAGTTTGAAAATTTCTCTCTCCTTTTGAAGTCTATACTACTGAATGCTCTCTTATAAACATCTGTACTACCATCTACTGGAAAGGTACATATATATCAGAAATCATATTCTTATCAAACATTCTAAACAGAATACAAATAATTCAAAAAAATGCAAAAAACATTATTTTTATAATTAAAATATATCAAGTAATAATAATAATGTACAGATAATGATAATAACATAATAATATATGTTATAATAATGTAATAATAATGTACTGATAAATGATTTTTTAAAATTTATTTAATGGTGTGTCTTTATAAATAAATAATATTTCAAATTATCAAGTGTCGATTGAGTATCTAGAAGAAATTCAGAAATGCAACATAGAGAACTATATTTGCAAGTCAGGATAGATAGATGGCCTCATTTTCAAAGACATGTAAACTTCATAAATTTATGTTTGTAGGCTCTATGGTATTTGTGTACATATCAGGAGAAAGGGAAACAGTGTGGAAGCAAGGAACATATACAAATGTTATTTTGTAGGAACACTGAACTTATATTCTGACTCCTGTTGAAGGAGTTAGCTTAAAACTGCTAGTTCTTAAAACTTGAACCATTTAAATAACATTTCTGATACCCAGAATTAAGTGTATAAGGAATTTTTTTTAGAAAATCACAGATAACTGATATAAAGTTCCCATTATCTCTTCTTATAAGACAGGATAATTAGCAGAAGTTCTGGATAATAGTTAACTAGTATTTCATAAATACTTTCAGATTTATTTTGTGCCATTTATAGTGCTACTAGTTATTGCACTCCTTGGTTTACCAAAGTATGTTAATAATTGTGATTAAGTTCAGAGAAAATATTTAAGTCTGCAATGAATTGGTTATTTTTTTAACTATAAAAGAAAATCAGAGTTAAGTTTATTATTGTTCTCAATATATGCATTCAATGAGATGATGTATGCACTCTATGTACAATTATTTTGATTCCAACAATAGATTGTTTGAATAATGCTGTAAAAGGTAGAAGCCATAAACAAAAGTACATATTTGTACTTTAAAAAGTACTTAACAAGTGATTTTTTTTTCTTTGTTCCTCCCTGTAGTGTTTTGTGTACTTTAAAAAAATACTTGCTTTTGCATAAATTCATCATATATTGTTTGGTGACATATTCTCATTTACCAGCATTTGGGAAATATATACAATACGAAAGAAATATTCTTTCCAAAAAATTACACTGAGGTTTTATTAGTAAAAAATATTGTGTAAATTGTCTTAAATGCTGATTACAGAAATATTATGTAGATAAGAATTTTAAATTAGCAAGAAAATTAATTACTTCTTCAAAAATCAGTGATGAAACACAAACATGCCAGGATTTTACCAGCCTACAGGTGAAGAGAAGCTCATTTTATATTGATACTTAAATTATGAAAGGTCTTAGCTTCTGATACCTCATGAAGTACATGATACCTCATGTACTTCAGAACCTTCTCTGACATCTTCAGCACTATTAATGTTAAATATTTTGCAATAACAGAAAAAATAAATAATGGGATAATACGTCTGCTATATTAATGGTACTTTACAAATGTAAAAAAAAGTTGGTATGAAGAATATTGAATATTGTAAGAAGCATATAAAAAGACAATTTATAGAAAAAATCCAGTGCCTTGCAAATATGAGAAGAGAAGCTCAATTTTTTGGTTGGAAAAGAAGAGTAAATAAAGAAACATTTTATACTCAACTGATTTTGCAAAAATGTAGAAGTCAAGTAATAGTAAATGATGGTGAAGGAAATGAGAATCTTCACATATCATGAGTGATAATTTGGTGAAATTATGGATAGTTATACTTGATGATTTAGCAAGTCACACCTGTATATTCATTCTGGAAAACTAGTGTACGGTTTCCAAAAAAAAAAAGTGTTGCATGGGTTTTTATTACAGCATTGTTTGAGTACTATAACAAGGAGACAATCTAATATGTATCATTAACAAGATGGTAAATAATAATACAGATGCTAACTACAGAAGAAAACGCATTAGTCAAAAGAGTAACTTAAACTATGTACACAACATAAATAAGTCTTTTTAAAAATGAAATATCACTGAATATAAGTGAAAGGGAATAACATATTTGATGGTTAATACTGAGTGTCAACTTGATTGGATTGAAGTATTGATATTGGACGTGTCTGTGAGGGTGTTGCCAAAGGAGATTAACATTTGAGTCAGTGGGCTTGGAAAGACAGACCCACTGTTAATCTGAGTGGGCACCATCTAATCAGCTGCCAGCAAATATAAAGCAGACAGAAAAACATGAAAAGGCTGGGCTAGCTTCCCAGACTACATCTTTCTCCAGTGCTGGATGCTTCCTGCCTTCAAACACTGGACTCCAAGTTCTTCAGTTTGGGGATGTGGACTGACTCTCCTTCCTCCTCAGTTTGCAGATAGCATATTATGGGACCTTGTGATGATGTGAGTTAACACTTCAGATACTTCCCTTTATATGTACATATATATTTTATATATATATACACACACACACACATATATATGTATATATGTGTATATATATGCATTTGACACTCCTGATTTACCGCTCATGAGAGGCAAGGAGTTTAATAACTCTATACATAATACCTTTGACCATTGGTGGAGAACCAAGGAACATGATGAAGCTGCTTGGTTGCTCCTAAGTTTGGTGGACAAAGTGATGAAATAAAATGATTAACTCAGAGATTCTGTCTTCCAGCTTCAGAAGCAGATACTGAGCCTCAAACCTAAGATTCCCCTTTGTGAGAGTTTTATCTCCCATAGAGAAAAAGCCGAAATTGTTGAAAAACACACACTAGCTGTTGTCATGAAAGTGCCTGACCTTCACCAAAAGGTGCAGACACAGCCTTGCCAGGTGTCTACTGTTAAAGTGAGGGGATTGATTGGAAAAGAATGGGACTCTACAATTTGGAATGGGGATGTGTGGGAGGACCCCGATGAAGCTGCGCATACTGAGTTTGTAAACTTTGATGAACTTTTTTTTGCCAGAAGAAACAAGTTCCCTAACCCCAGTAGTGGCAACATCCCCTCCCTGACTCCGGCTGCCATTGGCCTTCCTACTTTTGCCTGAGGAGATAAACCCTAAGCTGCCTAAGGCAACATTGATGCCCTCCCCTGAGACGGTTACCAGGCAAGATAATTTTGATTCTCCTCAGGAGCTACCCCCAACACCCTAGTTTGCTTCTAGACCTATAACTAGACCAAAGTCCCAGCAGGCCCCTAGAGGTGAGGTTCAGAGTGTGACCCATGAGGAGGTGTGCTACACTAAAATAAAATAAAATAAAAAACTGCTTGAGTTTTAGAGAACAGGCATGGGAATGGACATTAAGGTATGGGATAATGGTAGAAACAACATAGATTTGGATCAGGCAGAATTTATTGATTTGGGCCCACTAAGTAGGATTCTGCATTTCATGTTGCAGCTCAGGGAGTTAAAAAAGGTTCTAGTAGTTTATTTGCTTGGTTAGCTGAAATATGAATTAAAAAATGGTTCACTGTGAGTGAGCTGGGAATACCTGATCTCCCTTGGTTTAAGGTAGAGGAAGTGAACCAAAGCCTTAGGGAGATAGGGATGGTGGAGTGGATTAGTCACTTTAGATATACTTATCCCAGCTGGGAGGGTCCAGAAAATATACTCTTGACCAACGCCTTGCAAAATAGATTTGTGAGGGCAGCACCTGCATTTTCTGAAGAGCCCTGCAATTGTTTTTCTCTGTATGTCAGGTCTAACAGTGGAAATTGCAGTCACTCAACTACAAAATTTAAATACAATGGGAATAACTGCATCCCGAGGTGGCAGGGGCCTAGTGGCAGCACACAACCATCAAAGACAAGGTGGGCATGGCTACCGTAATAAACAGCAGATGCAAAGTGCAATCAGAAGAGTCTGACTTGTATAGAGCTCTGGCATTGGCTAATTAATTGCGGTGTTCCTAGAAGTGAAATTGATAAGAAGCCTACTGCATTCCCACTTAATTTATACAAGCAGAAAACTTCTAGGTAAAATAGACAAAAGAGTAATTTAAATCATAAAAACAGAGAATTATTACCCCTCAATCTATTTCCAGACACGAGCCAGTTTACAGACCCAGAACCCCTTGAATGATGGGGAGGCTGAGTCCCATTGAAGAAGGACCCCACTACATTATCAACAATTTATGCAGTGAATCTTTGTCCCATCCTTCCCCAAGGAGACTTCTGGCCTTTTACCAAGGTAATTGTGCATTGGGGAATGGGAAATGATTAGACAGTTTGGGGACTACTTGACACTGCCTCTGAACTGACGTTGATTCCAGGGGACCCAAAATGTCAATGTGGTCCTCCAATAAAAGTAGAGGCTTATGGAGGTCAGGTAGTTAATGGAGTTTTAGCTCACTTCCGACTTACAGTGGGTCCAGTGGGTCCCTGGACTGATGCTGTGGTCAGTGCCTGAGTGCCAGAATGCGTAATTGGCATAGACATATTTAGCAGCTGGTAGAACCCCCATATTGGCTCCCTGACTGGTAGGGTGAGGGCTATTATGGTGGGAAAGGCTGAATGGCTTCCATTAGAGCTGGCTCTACCTACAAAAATTATAACTCAAAAACAATATTGCATCGCTGGAGAGATTGCAGAGATTAGTGCCACCATCAAGGACTTGAAATACACAGTGGTGGTGATTCCCACCACATCCCCATTCAACTCTCTCATTTGGCCTCATAGAGGACAGGTGGATCTTGGAGAATGACAGTGCATTATTGTAAGCTTAATCAAGTGGTGACTACAATTGCAGCTGCCATACCAGATGTGGTTTCATTGCTTGAGCAAATTAACACATCTCCTGGTACCTGGTATGCAGCCACTGACTTGGCAAATTTCTTTTTCTCCATTCCTGTCCATAAGGCCCACCAGAAGCAATATGCCTTCAGCTGGCAAGGCCAACAATATACCTTTACTACCCTTTTAGGGGTATATCAAAACCCCAGCTTTCTGTAATAATCTTTTTCAGACAGAACTTGATGGCTTTTCGCTTCCACAAGGTATCACACTGGTCCATTACGTTGATAACATTATGCTGAGTGGAACCAGTGAACAAGAAGTAGCAAACACACTGGACTTATTGGTGAGACATTTGCATGCCAGAGGATGGGAAATAAATCTCACTAAAATTCAGGGACCTTTTACCTCAGGAAAATTTCTAGGGATCCAGTGGTATGGGGAATGTGGAGATACTCCTTCAAAGGTGAAGGATAAGTTGCTGCATTTGGCTCCTCCTACAACCAAGAAAGAGGTATAATGGCTAGTGGGTTATTTGGATTTTGAAGGCAACACATTCCTCATTTGGTTGTGTTACTCTGGCACATTTATTGAGTTACCTAAAAGGCTTCCAGTTTTAAGTGGAGTTTAGAACAGGAGAATGCTTTGCAACAGGTCCAGGCTGCGGTGCAAGCTGCTTTACCACTTGGGCCATATGACTCAGTAGATCCAACAGTGCTTGTGGCATCAGTGGCAGATGACCTAGCAGATCAAATGGTGCTTGAAGTGTCAGTGGCAGATAGGGATGCAGTTTGGAGACTTTGGCAGGTCCCTGTATGTGAATCACAGTGGAGGCCTCTAGGATTTTGGAGCAAGGCCTTGCCATCTTCTGCAGAACACTATCCTCCTTTTGAGAGACAGCTCTTGGCCTGTGTATTAGTCAGGGTGCTCTAGGGGAGCAAAACTAACAGGATATATGTATTAGTTATACATAACTAATAGGAGATGTGTGTGTGCGTGTGTGTGTGTGTGTGTGTGTGTGTGTGTGTAGTTTAAAAGGAATTAACTTACATGACCACAAGTTACTACAATAGGCTGTCTGAAAGCTTGAGGAGCAAGAAGAGCCAATACAAGTCTCAAAACTGAAGAACTTGGAGTCTGATGTTAAAGGGCAGGAAGCATCCAGCATGGGAGAAAGATGTAGGCTGGAAGGCTAGGTCAGTCTCTCCTTTTCACATTTTTCTGCCTGCTTTATATTTGCTGGCAACTGATTAGATGGTGCCCACCCAGTTAAGAGTGGATCTGCCTATCCCAGCCCACTGACTCAAATGTTAATCTCCTTTGGCAATACCCTCACAGACACACCCAGGATCAATACATTGTATCCTTCAATCTAATCAAGTTGACACTGAATATTAACCATCACAGCCTATAGCTGAGCTTTGGTGGAAACTGAACATTTGACTATGAGTCATCAAGTCACCATGCAACCTGAACTACCTATCATGAACTAGATGCTTTCTAACCCATCTAGCCTTAAAGTGGGTGGTACACAGCAGAATTCCATCACCAAATGGAAGTAGTATATATGTGATAGGTCTCAAGCAGATCCTGAAGGCACAAGTAAGTTACATGAGGAAGTGGCTCAAATGCCTATGTTCTCCACTCTTGCCACCCTGCCTTCTCTCCCTCAGCCTGCACCAATGGCCTCATGGGGATTTCCCTATGATCAGTTGATGGAGGAAGAGAAGACTGCGGCCTGGTTCACAGATGGTTCTTCATGATATGCAGGCACCACCCGAAAGTGGACAGCTGCAGCACTACAGCTGCTGTCAAGGACATCCCCGAAGGACAGTGGTGAAGGGAAATCTTCCCAGTGGGCAGAACTTCGAGCAGTGCACCTGGTTGTGCACTTTGCCTGGAAGGAGAAATGGCCAGATGTGCGATTATATACTGATTCATGGACTGTAGCCAGTGATTTGGTTGGATGGCCAGGGGCTTGGAAAGAATCTGATTAGAAAATTGATGACAAAGACATTTGGGGAAGAGGTATGTGGGATGGCCCTTTTTGAGTGGTAAAAAACTGTGAAGATATTTGTATCCCATGTGAGTGCTCACCAGTGGGTGACCTCAGCAGAGGATTTTAATAATCAAGTGGATAGGATGACCTGTTCTGTGGACACCACTCAGCCTCTTTCCCAGCCAGCCCTGTCATCACCCAATAGGCCCATGAACGAAGTGGCCATCATGGAGGTTATGCATGGGTGCAACAACACGGACTTCCACTCACCAAGGCTGACCTGGCTTTGGCCACTGCTGGGTGCCCAATTTGCCAGCAGCAGAGACCAACACTGAGCCCTCGATATGGCACCATTCCTCGGGGTGATCAGCCAGTTACCTGGTGGCAGGTTGATTATATTGGACCTCTTCTATCCTGGAAAGGGCAAGGTTTCTCCATATCCCGAATAGACACTCTGGATATGGATTTGCCTATCCTGAATACAATGCTTCTGCCAAACCTACCATCTGTGGACTCATGGAATACCTTACCCACTGTCATGGTATGCCACACAGCATTGCCTGTGACCAAAGCACTCACTTTACAGCTAAAGAAGTGCAGCAGTGGGCTCATGCTTAATGAATTCATTGGTTTTACCACATTCCCCATTATCCAGAAAAACCTGGATTGATAGACCGGTGGAATGACCTTTTGAAGTCACAATTACAACAACAACTAGGTGACTACTTTGCAGGGCTGGAGCAAAGTTCTCCAGAAGGCCGTGTATGCCCTGAATCAGTGTCCAATATATGGTACTGTTTCTCCCATAGCCAGGATTAATGGGTCCAGGAATCAAGGGGTGGAAGTGGAAGTGGCACCACTCACCATCACCCCTAGTGATCCACTAGCAAAATTTTTGTTTCCTGTTCCCACAGCATTACATCTTGCTGGCCTAGAAGTCTTAGTTTCAGAGGGAGGAATGCTCCCACCAAAAGGCACAACAATAATTCCACTACAGTGGAAGTTAAGATTGCCACCTGGACACTTTGCGCTCCTCCTACATTTAAGTCAATAGTCCAAGAAGGGAGTTACAGTGTTGGCTGTGGTGATTGACCCGGAGTATCAAGATGAAATCAGTCTATTACTCCACAACTGAGGTAAGGAAGAGTATACATGGAATACAGGAGATCCATTAGGGTGTCTCTTAATATTACCATGTCCTGTGATTAAGGTCAATGGGAAACTACAACAGCTCAATTCAGGCAGGATTACAAATGTCCCAGACCCTTCAGGAATGAAGATTTGGGTCACTCCACCAGGAAAATAACCGTGACCTGCTGGGGTGTTTGCTGAAGGCAAAGGGAATAACACAGAATGGGTAGTAGAAGAAGGTAGTCATCAATAACAGCTATGACCATGTGACCAGATACAGAAAGGAGGACTGTAATTGTCATGAGTATTTCCTCCTTCTTTTGTTAAAAACATGTTTGTGCATGAATACACTTCTACTAAGAAAATATCTTCATTTTATTTTCTTTCTCCTTTATCATGTGACATAAAATTTATTTATTTCATATCAGCACCTAAGTATTGTTAACTTTATTTAATAGCATTTGGGTTGGGGATTGGTGCATTTCCAGTTGTGTGAAGGATAGTTGTATTATGTTAGGCATAATTATGACCTTATTATTGTCTTTATTTGAAGATTATATATCATCTCAGGAGATGTGTATGGGTTCAAGTTGACAAGCGGTGGACTTGTGATGGTTAATACAGAGTATCAACTTGATTGGATTGAAGGACACAAAGTATTGATCCTGGGTATGTCTGTGAGGGCATTGCCAAAGGAGATTAACATTTGAGTCATTGGGCTGGGAAAGGCAGACCCACCTTTAATCTGGGTAGGCACCATCTAATCAGCTGCCAGTGAATATAATGCAGGCAGAAAAGCAAGAAAAGGCTAAACTGGCTTAGCCTCGCAGCCTACATCTTTCTCCCATGCTGGATGCTTTCTCCCATGCTTCCTGCCCTCACATATTGGACTCCAAGTTCTTCGGTTTTGGGACTCGGACTGGCTCTCCTTGTTCCTCAGCTTGCAGACAGCCTATTGAGGGACCTTTTGGTTGTGTGAGTTAATACTTAAGAAACCCTCCTTTATACATATATTATTTGTTCTGTCTCTCTAGAGAACTTTGACTAATACAACATTGAATAAAATATTATATATTATTTTCTTAATTAAATGTACATTCCTTACGTGTTTTTCAAGTGTACATATGTTTGAGGACATTCATTAATTTATAATAAGTGTCTGTGGGAAAAAAGAAAAGGGAATTGTTGATCAGGGAAGACACATCAGAATAAGACATAGAGAACAAAATGACAGGAGGGAAAGAAATAGAGGAGAAGAAAGTCCTTACATATATAGGTTCAGTAATCCTTAATCTGAAATGCTTGGGAACAGAAGTGTTTTTGATTGCAGATCTTTTCAGATTTTTGAATATTTTCATAAACGTAATGAGATGTCTTAGGGATGACACCCAAGTCTGAACAAAAAATTTGTGTTTCATATATACCTTATGCACATAACTTGAAGGTAACTTTATACAGTATTTTACATATTTTTGCACATGAAACAACATTTTGCCTATGTTTTGACTCTGACCCATCACATGAGGTCAGGTGTGAAGTTTTACACTTCTGGCATTATGTCAGTACTCAAAAAGTTTCAGATTTTTGAGCATTTCAGATTTTAGTTTTCCTATGAGGAATGCTCAATCTGTATCTCAAAAATAAACTCAATCCACTTTGTATCTGAATATTAAAAAAATTTAATTGCTGTATCTAATCACCATGATATATGAGGTGATTAAGATAAAAGAACAAATTTATATATTTATATTAAAAATTTTTGTTAAATAGGGCTATCTATGGAAAGCTACATAATAGGAGAACAAAAATGCCAAAACTATCTAGAAAAGTTAAAGCAAACTTCACAGCCAAGAAAATATGTGAGTACCATATAAAGAATGAGAAAACATTCTTGAGGGAAAAAAGATAAGAAAAGTGAGACATTCTTTTATCAAATCTAGATGACACTACAGAATAGGACTTCAAAGTGTTATAACTTATTTTCAATCTTCCAATTTGAAGTTTTGACACTGACTAGTCTCAGATTTGAATCTATCCTCTCTAACTCTATAGAGTCCATGCTCTCAATCTCAAAATAAATGAAGTTACACAAAATAAAGCCTTATCCTTGAGCAAATACTGGATTTTTCAATATAAATATGTACTCTTCATGTCTGAGTTTTCCACAGCATTTTACACATTGTCTTGCTCAAGAGATGCTGAATATTTGATACGTGGTTTGAAATTTTATATAACTAGTATAATTAGGCACCATAATAGACCAGTCCAATTTTATACAGTTTAAATCAGTTATTACTTACTCTCGTAAACTGTTGTTTTCTCAAATTGAAAGTGCTATCTCTATCTACATATTTGATGAAGGAAACTTTTCTACTAACATTTTGACTGAAGTTTGCAGTACACTTAAACAGAATTAGTGCAAATAATTACAGCCTCATTGTGGCTAAAAAAAGGAACTAATAAAATCAATTTTAACATTCATCAGATTTGTGTCTGAAAATTTGATTTTCAATAATTAGACATATTGATGTTTCTAAATAATATTCAATATCATATTTTTCTAAAATTTGACTCTCTTCAAATTGACCATATTTTCTTATCTTAATACAATTAAATTGAGAATAGATAGAAGTGTTGGAATTTATAAGTATTGTGTTTCTAAACCAACATAGCTAAACAAATACTCAATTAAAGTAACTACCCAACTACTGATTTTCTGAAGGAAAAACTTGCCGATGTTTATCAAATCAAGATTAATAAATTTGTGTCAATCTCAGTTGTCAATAAGTATGTGAACATCGATAATAGCAGATTAGGTCAGTTTCATTATGTTTATAATCTTTGTTTTATGTCTCTTAATTAGAACTACTAATCAGTTTAATGGTTGTGGTAATTCTTGTTATTTTGATAAGAAAACTTAAAGACTGTAAGATTCTTTACTTTTTATTTTAACTAGTTATAGGTCTATTTTCCTGGCCACTGTTACCTACTTAGCACTGTTGCTTCCAGAGCTAACTAAATTGCATAACCCTCAGGAGTGTGCTTTATTTTTGCTTATTCTTTCACCCTGAAAAAATGACTTTAAAGATTTGAATGATAATATGACCTCTCAAGTCCATAGATATATCCCATGGTGATAACAAGGAGAGATTGTTTTCTTACACCAGTCTCTTTTTCAAAAGGAAACTTGAGCTTTGATTTCTTTGGGCCCTGTTGCTGTTTATATTCAGAGACACAATGTCATAGATCTACAGTGTTGCAATTTAAAAATTCCCCTGTGGCTGTAAACCAGGAGTAAAAATCCATAGCTAGCCAATCATATTGCATATATTTTAGACATGGAAGACATAAAATCATCTCTTTATATTGAGTTATTCTCAATTTATTGCATACACAATGTACCCTTGCAGTATTGAACATAGACAGCTTACATTTAATTTGATTTAAAGAAGAGAATTGCATTCCATACTCATCAAGTCATCCTGCAGGTCTTTGAAGAAGTACTAAATTTTGAAGTGCATAACTAGTGAGGCAATTTTAATCCTAACCAAGCATGGCATGAAATAAACATGCAAATGGCAAACAGAAAGCTGTTAATTTGTGTGAGAAGTTAAAGTTAAAAAAAAACAAGTTGATAGTTTTTTCACAATGGGTTTGCTGCCAGAACACAGGCATCATGAAAACTACACCTAAAAGCCAAAATGGGAAAGGAAAAAACTCATATCAACATTGTCGTCATTGGACATGTCGATTCAGGCAGGTCCACCACTACTGGCCATCTGATCTACAAATGTAGTGGCATCGACAAAAGAACCATTGAAAAATTTGAGAAGGAGGCTGCTGAGATGGGAAAGGGCTCCTTCAAGTATGCCTGGGTCTTGGGTAAACTGAAAGCTGAGCGTGAACGTAGTATCACCACTGATATCTCCTTGTAGAAATTTGAAACCAGCAAGTACTACTTGGCTATCATTGATACCCCACGACACAGAGACTTCATCAAAAACCTGATTACAGGGATATCTCAGGCTGACTGTAATGTCCTGAATGTTGCTGCTGGTGTTGGTGAATTTGAAGCTGGTAACTTCAAAAATGGGCAGACCCGAGAGCATGCCCTTCTGGTTTACACACTGGGTGTGAACAACTAATCATTTGTGTT
Source organism: Homo sapiens (assembly GCF_000001405.40). Lineage (NCBI taxonomy): Eukaryota > Metazoa > Chordata > Mammalia > Primates > Hominidae > Homo > Homo sapiens. The sequence continues at coordinate 135,045,919 of NC_000004.12, forward strand.
AACAAAATGGATTCCACTGAGCCACCTTACAGCCAGAAGAGATATCAGGGAATCATTAAGGAAGTCAGCACTTACATTAAGAAATCGGCTACAACCCTGACACAGTAGCGTTTGTGCCAATTTCTGGTTGGAATGTTGACAACATGCTGGAGCCAAGTGCTAACATGCCTTGGTTCAAGGGATGGAAAGTCACCTGTAAGGATGGCAATACCAGTGGAACCACGCTGCTTGAGGCTCTGGACTGCATCCTATCACTAATTTGTCCAACTGAGAAGCCCATGTGCCTGACTCTTCAGGATGTCTACAAAATTGGTGGTATTGGTGCTGTTCCTGCAGGTCGAGTGGAGACTGATGTTTTCAAACCTACTATGGTGGCCACCTTTGCTCCAGTCAACAATACAACTGAAGTAAAATCTGTCGAAATGCACCATGAAGCTTTGAGTGAAGCTCTTCCTGGGGACAATGTGGGCTTCGATGTCAAGAATGTGTCTGTCAAGGAGGTTCATCATGGCAATGTTGCTGGTGACAGCAAAAATGACCCATCAATGGAAGCAGCTGACTTCACTGCTCAAGTGATTATCCTGAACCATTCAGGCCAAATCAGCGCTGGCTATGCCTCTGTACTGGATTGCCACATGGCTCACATTGCTTGCCAGTTTGCTGAGCTGAAGGAAAAGATTGATTGCCGTTCTGGTAAAAAGCTGGAAGATGGCCCTAAATTCTTGAAGTCTGGTGATGCTGCCATCATTGATATGGTTCCTGGCAAGCCTATGTGTGTTGAGAGCTTCTCAGACTATCCACCTCTGCATTGCTTTGCTGTTCATGATATGAGACAGACAGTTGTCCTGGGTGTCATCAAAGCAGTGGACAAGAAGGCTGCTGGAGCAGGCAAGGCCACCAAGTCTGCTTAGAAAGCTCAGAAGGCCAAATGAATATTATCCCTAATACCTGCCGCCTAGTCTTAATCAATGGTGGAAGAACAGTCTCAGAAGTGTGTGTTTCAATTGGCCACTTAAGTTTAGTAGTAAAAGACTGGTTAATGATAACAATGCATCATAAAAACCTTCAGAAGGAAAGGAGAATGTTTTGTGGACCACTTTGATTTTCTGTTTTGTGTGTGGCAGTTTTAAGTTATTAGTTTTTTAAATTAGCACTTTTTAGTGGAAACAACTTGACCAAAATTTTGTGACAGAATTTTGAGACCCATTAAAAAAGTTTAATGAGAAAAACAAACAAACAAACAAACAAAACCAAGATGATAAAAGCAGTTAGTTTGTGCTACTACAGAATGGAATCCACAATTCACATCCTGAGGGAGTGACAAACCAATCATTTAATGCTGTGTCAACACATGTATCTTGTCTTTCATTAGTAAACTCTCCAGCTGGTTTGTACACTGTCAGAAGTGGACCACCTACTGAAATTCATAGAGGTGTGGAAACTGGCATGGTTTAATAATTCTGTTTTGTTTAACTTTCTTCCTTATCCTATCTGAAACAATTTTTTTCTGTTTTTAGAACAAGTATGTATTAGCTTCATTTATGAAGTAAATGTTTAAAATATTTATTATTCAAATGACCTACTTTCCTCTTAATTCCTTAGAGCACTTTGAATATCCTAGCCAATCGAGGATTACATTTGCCCGTAAATTACCCATGCTTTATCTCTCCACACAGTCTGCCCCACATCATCTGTGAATAAATAACCATAAAAAATAAATGGAGAGGAAAGACAACTGCATCCGTCTCCCTTTCTTTCTGAAAAGTGTTCTACTGAGATGCTGGTTAATGATCTAAGAAGTAGTATAGATTCAAAAGATTTTCCACTCCTCCAGACCAACCCTCCCCTGGACAAACCTGTTCAATTTAAGTCTTTTCTTCTATTTGACATTGCTTATAGGAAATGAATGAGTAAATAAATATTTAAACAATAGTACATGAAATCTATGAAACACAATTAAGTAAAAGCCCAGGAAATGGAAAGATAACTAGATATAAAAATTTTCAAGAATATAATATGATTTCCTCAAACATTTGCTAAACATAGTCAAGAGTAAGATAAAAGCTACTCTAATTTTTAATTTTGACAAACAAGGACATATTTATTTTAGAAAATATTACATTTCTTGTAAAATTAATTACTGGGATTATTTTTTATTAATGTGAGTCATAAGGACTTTTATACCAAATGCAGAATAGTTAAGCACAGGAATCGTGTGCCTGTTTAATATTATAAGTAGTAGTGTTCGTAAAATTAAAATTAAAATGTCTACTTCAATCACATACATGTTCCTCATTTAAACTGATAATCCCTCTTCTAATAAAACAGTATTTCTTTAAAAATCCTATTTTTTTAAATTAAAGAAGAATTTAGACATTTTTGCTCTTTTAACGAAGCAATCAAATAAAGGTGACTGAGCTCAGTAAAAAGCTTTTGGGTAAAATCAAAAAATGCCATAATAATTTTAAATATTGGACCTATATGCATTATAATCAGAATGCAAGTAAATTCTAAAAGAGAAAAATTAAAACTTAGACTATTAGCTAGATTGTTGAAATACATGTGTAAATATTTAAAATGATTGATGTATAGCAGATATTTTAAAAACATAACATCTGATATGTATTTGTTTCTCCTGTCTCAGCCTCCTGAGTAGCTGGGACTACAGGTGCCCACCACCACGCCCGGCTAATTTCTTTTTTGTATTTTTGGTAGAGATGGGGTTTCACTGTGTTAGCCAGGATGGTCTCCATCTCCTGACCTTGTGATCCTCCTGCTTCAGCCTCCCAAACTGCTGGGATTACAGCCGTGAGCCACCGCGCCCAGCCTTTTTTTTTTTTTTTTTTTTTTACTATTTCTTGTTTAGTATAAGGTGAGCTTTGTACTTTTGGAGATCTATGAACAACAACCCCACCCCAAATTTAAAAATACAATGAAATAATTTCTAATTAAACACTAAGTCATTAGATGTAAAATACATTAATTCATTATTTGCTTTATAATATTGGAAATATTATAAATATAACTATGTTTAGTTTTTAAAATCATAGAGATTTTAAAATAAAGTTATTTTTTCTTTTTCTAAGATTTATTTTTAGTTTTCTAAACTTAATTTGAATAAAATGTTCTTCATAGAAAACTGAATATTTTCATAAGGATGCTTTAATTGCTTAAAATGTGTAAAGTTAAAATTATTTAAAAATTAAAATTTGAAATAAGCCTTAATTTCAGTAAATTGGACAACTATACCTTTTGAAATACATCAAATTGCAAACATTTAAATGAAGAACCATTTGCTTTAAATAATTAAACATTTGCTTCATAACATTTGCACCATTAGCTTGTTCAAAAAAAGACTTAATCTTAGTAGGTTAAAAACTACTGCTAATTCTGATTCAAGTGAATTCAATTTTAAGACTTGCATGATATAAGTAGTGAAGAATTTTAAACATAATTTGTTTTTAAAATATTAATTGAAAATCAGGTGAAAATGCTTTTCATATAGTTGAGGAAAACCCACAGGTATAAAGGTTGAGTAACATCAGCTTCCAGTGAAGTTTCCAAAGCTTCTAAGCTTTCATCTGGATTCTCATAATTTGGAAAGCTGCAATGGTGCTGTATTTATAAATAACCACCTTAAGCTAAAAAGAAATTATTGATATTAAAAGTAAATCTTTGTTTGTGAACTGTAGTTCGTATAATTTCTACCTTAAGAAATATATAATATTAAACCTTAATATTTAATATATGTGAAAATTTCACTTCTAAACCACCAGTAGCCTATCACTATCATTGTGAAATTAACATTGATTCTCTAAAAAATGTATTTAAATAATTTTACAATCACAGCCTTTCTTCTCATGTTAGTTTTACAGCATATGCAAATATTCTGTTTGAAGTGTTTTTATTTGTTCATTTGTTAGGTTTGTTTTTCTAACTGTTTTACCACAGGAAGTTTGTGGCTTGGCTTTTTCCTTTTGCTTGCAATTTTTAAAATTGATTTTAGATTTTCCATGAGAAAAGTATTGCAGACAATTTCAATGATAAAAATGTTAAGATTATATTTTCTCAACAAGAACTCAGCCAACCCTGTATGTATCTGTGTGTGTGTGTGTGTGTGTGTGTGTGTGTGTGTGTGTGTATGTATACTGAAGACATCTTCTAAAAAACTGGGAGTATCAGATACCATAAAAAATTTCTGATCTGAAGGTGTGTCAAAATGTAGCCAGGAACAATATTTCTTAAGAGAAGCACCACTCGATTGTTTCACTTAATATATCTGGTTTGGGTTGAATAGAAGATGTCTATACCAGAGCATTAACAAACATTGTAATTTGCTGGGGTCAGCCAGGGCTGAGGCTCTGAGATTGAAAGTCATGTTAAATTATGCTATCAGCTTTCAAAACCTCATTAGACTTAACCCATTTAGGCGCCACTGACTTCTCGGAATCACCAATAGAACCCTAATCAGAAAACCACAGAGCAGCCAGTCTTCTGCTATCAAAAACCTCAGTACAATTTGTGTATTAATATTTCAAAAAGTTTGTAGAAACACGTACTCTCTGCTGAGCACTACAACCAGTTCAGATACAGTTACAGTCAGTCATCCTGGCTAGAGCTGCTGACTGCTCTCCGTCTGTGTCTGGACTTGGCAACTGGAGAGAGAAAAAGACAGCAGAAAATGAAACGAATGCGTTCATTTGATTTGTGATTAATAAATTCCCATAATTGGAGAGTCAGACAACCAGTAAACAGAAGACTATAAGTTACAGGAAAATGAGAATTTTATCCTGTAATATAGCCATCTGATTTTGAATACAACTATACTACCTTGTTTTTTCAGGAGAAGCAATTTTTGAAGCTTTGTTTTTTTCTAATGTTCTCCAAAATATTTAACATAATTTTCACCATGAATTGGTAACAATAAAGTCTGAGCAATATACAACAAAGTAGTGCAATTGAAAGGTTTTATAACTTATAGAAAATCAATTGATCTGTTTATTTATAATGAGGAAAATCTCATAATATTTAAATTTCCTTACTTATAATGGCACATATTTATTAACATGGGCCCCTAAAGCGAAAATATTTACAGATACTTCTAAAAAGTTAGAATCTCAAATTTAAATAAGACAGTTTAAAATAAAGTTATACTAAAACAAATTAAAAAGTACTGTTTTAATTATAATTTTGATACTTCACATGTTATTTAAAGTAAATTGATTATGATATTGAAATGGAAACCAGAATAAACAATCACATGACTAAGACAGGCGTATTTTCCATACTATACGATTTTGAATATGAAATTTTCTTTGATATATTTAATTAGATATGGAGGATGTTAAAAATCTCCATGGCATGATATAAACCATAGACCTATGGAAGTTCTTGATTATTACATTTTTTAGTTGTTTTTACTGAATCACAGGGCACTGGCCTTATCAGTAGTCAAGGTCTACTCTAGTTCAGCTCCACCATGAGCTAATAAGTAGCACTGACAAGTCAATATGCTTGACATCTTTAGTGTGAACTCACACCTGAGACCCCTTACAGTCCCACTCTAATTTGCCTACAACAAAATCTTATGTGTGCATGCACACTTATATGAACATAAACACGATGTTCTATTGTCATCCAGATCTGTCTGAATATAATGAATATTTTATTAAAGAATGCTATGATTTATATAAAAATATGAGCACACAACCATCTTCAACAGCTCTGATTTTAAAGGGGAGCTTCATAGCGTTTTCACCTCTTTCAGATGTAGATGTGCCTGTTACAGAGCTAATGAAGTGAGAAACAGACAGTGGATACCCTTTTCCTTGATATATTATTCTTATTATTCTGCGCCATGATGTACTTTGGTCTGGCTGATAGTGCTGCAATTTACGTGAAGTTGAGGAATATTTCTCATCATACCAAACAGAGAGATTGAATAAATTTATGTATCTGAATTTGTATTGCAGCTAGCTCTTCAGTTTTATAATCTTTCAGTAATTAGAATTAAAATTGTTCTTCTTAACTTACTATTTTTTGCATAGAGAAATTTCATAAATCTCCATTTTCTTTCTTTCTTTTTTTTTTTTTTTTTTGGATACAGAGCCTTGCTCTGTTGCCCAGGCTGGAGTTCAGTGGTGCAATCGCTGCTCACTCCAACTTCCTGGGTTCAAGCCTCCTGGGTTCAAGCAGTTCTCCTTCCTCAGACTACTGAGTGGCTTGGATTACAGGTGTGAGTCACCACCCCTGGCTAATTTTTTGTATTTTTAGTAAAGACGGGGTTTCACCATGTTGGACAGGATGGTATCAAACTCCTGACCTCAGGTGATCCGTCCCCCTTCTGCCTCCCAAAGTGCTGGGATTATAGGCATGCACCACCATGCCTGGCCCTCCTCTGTTATCTTTTAAAATGTTGAGTATGTTAAAAGAAAAATGAACATCTATCTAAATAATAAGACATAACAATAAATGAACATCTGTTACCTCTCCTAAAATTACAACATAACCAATAATTAAGTCCTACTCCTAATCCATCCGCCTTCCTCCCAGAACCAGTTCCCAGAAATAAACATTATTCTGCTCTCAGCACTGAGTTTTCCTAGTTGTAGCAGTTGAAAACAAAGAAAAAACAGTTCTTTGTATTCTCAGACATGTTCAGTCACTATATGAACACAATTGCTCATCTAGTTCAATCTCCTCAGTGCCTCTGTGATCAAAACTATAACGTAGATTTGAACACAAATAGCTTTTAGGGCCAGCAAGTTAATATTGCCATGAGTGTGAGGTAATTTGCAGCCCATAGGCAATAGAACATAAAAGCCAAAATGAAATCCTCAGCTCTTCAAAAAAAGTGTGATTATAATTATGAACATTCCAGCTACTACTTGCCAGTCTTTATTTTAGGCAAATGAGGAAAAGATCTGACAATAACCATGGGATCACCTAGTCAGATTACCATGAGAAACTTCAAGAAGCCGTGTAAAAATACAAGACCTTGCTTACCCACCATGAAGTAACAAAAATGTTTTATTCTATTCAGCATTAGCACTTTCTTCTCTGGTTATATGGAAGCATTAGAACATTCTGAATACAACATCTAGCAAATCCCATTTCTAAAGGAATTTTTACAGATTATCATTTTTCCCTGAAGTGATTATAATACAAATACATTTGCAAATGTTTATGCCAAGAAATGTTTAAAATATATCTGAAATCTGGTGGCAATTTTGTTATTTGGGTTAAGGGTTTTTAATGCCTTCAGTAACAAGTTATTTTGTAGATGTGAATGTTGTCATTAGGTATTAAATTACTTTGGCTACAATGTTATCAATTGCTTTGAGGGATACATAATAGCATGTAATTAGTAATGCTACATAGTCCTTATATCAAAAGGCTATTTTGTAGTGCCCTTATATGCTTGCTTATAAAGTAAAGGTTTTTTTTTTTACACTTAAGTTAGAACATTCACTTATATTTTGAAAGTAAATGCTCTTTCATAATATATAACACATGAAAAATAAATTTAAATTCTACTAAACCAATTAACAAGACAGTCCTAAACGGAGGGAAAAAATAAATTACTTATGTTTCTTACTGAATAATCATAGTTTCACCTGAAGTATATGCATCAAATATGTTCCTAAATGGTAATGTACTATGTCAGTGTAATTCTGTAAAACTATAACTATAGATATAAACGTAGTTGAATTAAGGTATATCTATTAGTTTTAGCTTTGGATCTTAAAATGACAGAAGACGACACAGAATCTGTCTCATCTATAATTGAATGTATGAAAGAACTGAGTATGTAGGTCTAATTTTGGATCCATTGAGAGTGCTTCACTGAGTAAATGAGAATGATGTGAAGGGATTGCAAAGGGAAAAAAAGATGCTTTTATAAAGGTATACATGGAACTGCATATTCTAGCTTTTTGATGTTAGATTTTAAGTGAGAACATGTAAGTTTTTCAGATAAACAAATATACGAAGTTAGCTTCCAAATAATTGGCAATTTCATGCCCCATGTATAGGAGATTTTACTTGCCAAGAATGTTTTAAGCATATTGATTAGGTGTTAGAAACAGCACTTAAGGCTTTTTTTTTCCCCCACCAAGATTAAATTAGCACAGGTTTGCCAAATAATGTACCCTATTTAGAAGGAAATTTAACAGAAGTCCATACTATAATTTTTCTGGCTATAGCAAGGTTTAACCCAACAATGACTACCCGTTTTTTATTTAGACCCACAATTATGACACATAATTGGTCAATCAGAAGAAGGATTTACACTCAACAGCAACAAAGCAAAAGTAACTGTTCTCTGTATAGAACATTACCTGAAGTATAGAACATAACCTGAACTCAACTAGCTGAGTAAATAAGTACGGATCATTTATTTACCATGGATCATGTGACTATGTCTGTGTTGGACATTGTTGCTACCTTGGCCATAGGTTTTTCTGTTTTGTTTTGTTTTTCATGTGTAAAGAGAAACTACTGATTATGTAGTTGAAAGAGACTTTTGTAATTGTTGATTCACAATCTAAACTCTTAGTTATTTTGAAAGGAGTAAAAATGCAGTAAAACCTGAACATATTCTGTAACATTTTTTAAAAGAATGAATCAATTTTTAAGCAATTTTTAAGAGTATGTATTACATATTCAAATATAAGATATTTGGACCACCAAATATTGTTGAACCACTAAATTATTGTTAACCTGGATGCTTGTAGGAGTAATAATTCCACAATAGTAAGCTTTATTTGTTATATACATCATTTATTATTTTTCTGTGTCTTCAAACCAAGGTAATTATTATATTTAGGATATTTTTTCTTTGGAAAATACATTTTAAAGTGTTTACATTTGTCTTACTTTATACACAGATATTCTACAGAGAAGATGTAGAAAAATGTGATCTTGTTTTACCATAAAAATTACATGATGATAACAGTAATATATTACCTTTATTTCTGATATATGTTTAGTTAACATGTGTTTCTAACACTTTACATGTATTTTACTTTGCCATAGTCAGATAATCAAATAGTTTATGGGCCAAACTAGATGTTCTAAAACCTGTCAGAACTGTTAACTAGTTTTTGTTTGTTTGTTTGTTTCATTTTGTTTTGTTTTTTACTGACAGCCAGTCTCTACCTCAAGTGAGATATTTTGATTTACTTCTTAGTAGTAAGACTCAAACATTTCCATATATTAAATGATCCCCAGTTCATTCAAATCTTTAGGTAACATCTTAAAAAATAGAGAAAAGCAAATGTAAATAAAATTAATGTTTCTTGACTTATGAACCAAAATTCCTTGAAAGCAGATGACCAATTACAATTTATATGTTGTCTAAGTATCAAGTTTTTACATTGACTTACTTTCTTTCTTTCTTTCTTTCTTTCTTTCTTTCCTTCTTTCTTTCTTCTTTTCTCTCTCTCTCTCCCCTCCCCTCCCCTCTCCTTCATTCCTTCCTTCCTTTCGTTCTTCCTTTCTTCTTTTTCTTTCTTCTTTCTTTCTTTCTTTCTTTCTTTCTTTCTTTCTTTCTTTCTTTCTTTTTCTTTCTTTCTTTCTTTCTTCTTTTCTTTCTCTCTCTCTCTCCCCTCCCCTCTCCTTCATTCCTTCCTTCCTTTCATTCTTCCTTTCTTCTTTTTCTTTTTCTTTCTTCTTTCTTTCTTTCTTTCTTTCTTTCTTTCTTTCTTTCTTTCTTTCATTTTTTTCTCTCTTTCTCTCATCTATGGTCATGTAAAGGCATGAAATCATTAAAGTCATGTAATATTAAATATATTGATTATATTTTGTAGACAAGTCCCAGCATCTAAAAAAAAAATTTTTAAATGAAAAGACTCTTATAGCATATCTTGCAAATATTAATCACAAAAAAGTTCCTTTTAATTACAGAATAAAACATATCTTTGATGATATAATCTGAACATAAATGGCAAAAAATAGTTGTCTAATTGTTCAGTTAAGTTTTTCACATTCATTAATTGTTGTAGATAACTGTATAAATATAGATACGCTTTAGAACATTTGAAATATAGATTATTATGAAAGTGTAATTTTTCTTTCAATGATTAAAACATTTATAGATGTATACAATATATTCTTATAATCTTCTTTTCTCTTTTTAAGATCTCACCATTTCACTTTATTAATTTTCCTAGATCATTAGTTCTCAAACTTGAACATGCATCAGACAAGTTTAAGTTTGAGAACTAAGGCTCTAGAAGTACTTAAGACACAGATTGCTGGGCCTCACCCACAGAGTCTCTAATTATTAGGTCTGAGAAGGAGCTATATAACTTGCGGTCTATCAAGATCCCACCCAGTTAGTGCTGATACTACTGTTCTAGTAATTCCACTTTGAAAACTAGAGTTAAAAAATAAGAAGGACCGGTCTTTCTGTGCTTCTTTTTTTCAGATCAAGGAAACTAGCAATGCTTATTTATTTATGACTATATGAATTTTTTATTACATAAAAATATGGAAGTTTTTATAGAATTTTCCTGCCCCTTAAAAAAATAGAAAATACAAGTTATACATATTTCCTTGAATTAGAGTTCTGGAAAGAAATTCAGTTATTAATGTAGTTATAAATACAATGTAAAATTAAACTCATTTCATATTATATGACTGAAATTATTACAATACTGCAGAATTAAACTTGATTTCATTAGTTTTATACATTCTAGATATAAAGGTGAAATAGGACCTCATATTCAAATTACAAATGGAGATTAACAATTTCAATGAGTATGATTATTTGTATCAACATACTTTAGCATAAGCTATCTGAATAAATGCTTATTTTTCCACATTGTTTTTCTCCTATTGAACCAATGCCACCATAATTATAAAAACTCATTTTCTTAATATGTATAATTGACCATTCATCACTTGGAAAATGATGAATGAACTCCATTGTAATATTTAATCTCTGAAATAAGGTCTTATTTTGTCATTTCATTTCCTTTGGACATTGTTTATCCTCCCTGGTATACAGACTAGGAATCATAGTGCTAAATAAAATTTGTGCCTTTGGTTATGGAACACAATTTAGGAGATTGGGCTCTTATTAGGACAAGTGAATGTAATGAAATAAATGAATAAAAAAAAAAGCCTCATAGAGCTAGGAAAAGGTCAGCTAGAGGATGAAAAATTACTGAAAGCTCCAGAGACTACAAAATAATAATGTAGAATTTGTGATTGAACTACATGAGGATGAGATGTGTGTGGACAAGGTAGGAAGAGACTGCAAGAGATGTTAAAGGCAATAAAATGCAGAAGGTTCATGTGAAATACTCAAAGGAAGAAAAAATTAGGGTGTCTGAAAAATGGAATTAAGTACATATCTAGGAAGGCTATTAAGATAATGTAGAAAACAAGTTCTAGAAGCAAGATATGAAAATTCAATGTCAATAACCAGCATGCAAAACTGGATATTCAACTCTAGGAAAAGTCTGTGTGGATATGAAAAGAGGCTTCCTTCTTATGGGATGTTGGACAAAGGAGGAAGGATTTGAGACACAGATTGAAGATGACAAAAAAAATAGAGTTCAAGTTCTGAAACTACTGTAGGAAACAAAATACTGCTTAGAAACAAGAAAAATAAGTGTTAATATTTGATTCAAGTTAAAAATACAGTGCAGAGACAGCAACATCAAAGAATACTAGATGTTGGATTTATTCCTAGAAGTTATACTAGCTATTCATCTTCACTTCTCATAGGTGAGAACCAGAATTATGAATGAAATTGGAGGCTGAAGTTTATATTGCTCTACTTTGAAGAAATATTAAAAAAAAGCCATATGCTAGGGAAGACATTACATGCATATATACTAATATAACACCTTACTTATTAAGTTGCTCCATTACTTGGATATTTCTACTTATAAAGGAATAATATTTGACATAAATTATAAACCAAAGGGAATGTTATTTCAATAAATTTATTACCCCCACTTAAAGCTCTGAATTCATCTCTACTTATTGAATTACTTGAACTACCCTTTTTGATTTTCACTATGGAGCTAAGCCAAGACCACAGTTTCAGGAATCGATAGGGTCTGTGCTGTGTTGTGAAGCAACAAAACTCCCTGGAAGTATTCAGCTTACAAATTCCTCACTAAAAGCAGCAATCTCTGGGATCTTTTTTCTTCTAAAAATATAGAGCAAATTGTATAATATGCTACACAGATTTGGGGTGTAAAAACAGTATATCTTAATTTTCTGTTAAAACTAGGAAAGATTCTGAAATGTGACAAGCTTTCTCAGATTTCTACAGTCTTAGGGAACAGCTGCTTGCCTACACCAGGTTTTTTTTTTTTTTTTTTCCTATGATTAGGTACCTGGAAATAAAGTAAGATTCTGACATTCACCTCTTCCTTCTTGTTCTCATTTCTGCAAAGAGTATATTTCTCTTTGCGTCTTCAAGTGTTATACTATTACATTAAGTCTATAGTTTATCAGTAAATGATGAGTTATGTCTGTTTTAGACAAATATGTTTCACTTATATCAAGTTCACTAAGTACCCAAGCCATTTTCTTCAATTTGCACTTTATTAGTAAAGAGGAAGAAAAGTTATATTTTGATCTACATCATTCATATCCTATTATTCACCAAGTGATTCAAACACATGTGAGAAAGAGGTCATTGTCTGATAACTGACTCAGGAAACTTGAGAAAACTTAAGAAACAAATGTGACAGTAAAATACCTACGAAAGAAATGTGCTGGGCCAAGTGGCTTTAGGTGCTTTAATAGGCAGGTAACTGAGGTTCCCCTGACTCTGATATGGACAGGAGGCAGAAAAATACTGAGTAGAAGAGGCTGGTCTCTGGCAAGGGTTCCACCCTCAAGCCTGGACCTGCAGCCCAAGGGAATTTTACATCCTTGTTTTCCTGCTTGAATGTTGCCTTTTCCAAAACCACCCTAACATTGGCACATGTCCACCCCCAATCCTGTACCTATAAAAACCCCAGGCTCCACTAGTAGTGGAGCAGCAGAGAAGGAGAGAAAAGAAGCAGCTTGACTTCAGCGGGATGGCTTCATGGTGGGACCTCAGAGAAGAGTTCAGCCAGGGATGGCCAAATTCCAGGGGAAGACCATCTTCCCACTTCATCCCCTTTCCAGCTCTCCATCTCGCTGAGAGCCACTTTCATTGGCAATCAAATCCCCTACAATTACCATCTTCAATTCACTCATGTGACCTGATTCTTCCTGAACACTGAACAAGAGCTCAAGATACAGAAGGCTGTCACACGGAACCGTTAAACACCTAAGCTGTCCACAAATGTCAAAGCTAAAAGAGCACACTGTAACACACACCCTCTGGGGCTCCGGGAGTTGCGGGTACCCTCCTAGACGGTGCTGTGGGGCTGCGCCGAGTCCTGCTCCTGCTGATGCCCAGATGTACTCATCCTGGCCCCTGCACCCACTCACCTGCATGCTCCCATCCTTCGGACAGGTTGAGAGCTGCGGCCTGAGGAAATGAGCCACCACCTTTGCGAGTCCCACAGAGGGGTCAGGGAAAACTTCCTGTTTCAACTCCATACGCATGGCTTTTGAGGGCCTGAGAAATAACAGGACTTGCCAGCTCTAGACTATGTGGAGTAGTCAGGCAGGTGCCTTAACAGATAGTTTTGAGACTAGAAATATACTTTGCCTAAGTTAATCAGGTCTGCAAGAAAGGAAACATCTGAGTTCTGCCATGTACAGAGTATTAGTGAAATTCTGAATTAGATCATTAGTGCCAGGCCAGGTAGGTGAAAAAAGAATCAGAATGCCAAATTTGTATCTCTTTTGCCATTTTTTTCTTTGATCAGATCAATATATCTAAAAGTTCATCAATTTGATTGATCTCATGAAAAACCAGTTTAATTTATTGCAGTTTTTCTATTTCATATATTTCTAGTATTATCATCTTATTATAATTAGTATCATGATATATTATTATTATTGTTTCCACACTTCAAGAACTTTGTGCTTAAACTTTTTTTTTCTTTTTCTGGCTTCTTAAAGTAGAACCTTATATAATTGAGATTAAATATTTTGATTTTCATGTAATAAAGTTATAGAATTCCATCTATGTGTTATTTTACTTGTGTCTCACAAATTTTGATGTTTTCATTATCATTCAGTTCAAAATATTTTATTTTAAAATATAGAAATTTTAAATGATTTATTTCTTGAATCCATTGTCCATTTAGAAGTGTGTGTGTGTGTGTGTGTGTGTGTGTGTGTGTGTTTGAGATAGAGTCTCATTCAGTCACCCAGGCTGGAGTGCAGTGGCGTAATCTGAGCTCACTGCAACCTCCGCTCCCTGGGCTCAAGTGATCCTCCACCCTTACCCTCCTGAGTAGCTGGGACCATAGGCAAGAGCCACCACGCCCCGCTAATTATTTGTGTTTTTCTTTGTAGAGACAGGTTTTCACCATATTCTCCAGGCTGGTCTTGAACTCTTGAGTTCAAAGTTATCTGCCTGTCTTGGCCTCTCAAAGTGCTGAGATTACAGGCATGAGCACTGCACCCCATGTGTGTGTATTTTTAAAAATTTCTGAACTTTTGGGGAGATTTTATCTTTCTGTTGTTTCAATTCTTGAAATACATTGTTATTTGTTTTTATATTCTAGCTTATGATCTTGGTTAATGTTTCATGTGCACTTGAAAAAGAATGTATTTTCTGCAATTTTAGGATGTTCAACAGAGGTCAATTAGGTCAAGGTAGTTCTTATGGTTGTTAACATTTATACATTTGTTATTGTGAGAGGGCTGGCAAAACATTCACTTATGACTTGATTCATCTGTTTCTGCCTTTAGTATCTAAATATCTGTTAGTCGTTGCTGCATGTAGTTTGAAGCTGTTATTATTTAGACTGTTTTTACTTCCAGATACATTAAATTTTTATCATTAGGAAATTTCCCTCTTTATTTCCTGTAATACCTTTGTATAAAATCTACTTCATCTGATATTAATAGCCACAATAGATCTCTTATGGTTACTGTTTTGTTTTCATGGTAGGCATTTTTATATTAGCTGTGTCTTTACATTTAAAGTGTGTCTCTTAGAGAAAAAAAATAACAGTTGTTTTCAAATTCAATCTGAAAATATCTGCATTTTAATGTGAGTGTTTAATCCATTTAGACTTAATGTAATTATTCATATGGTATGTTTAAGTCTATCATCTTGCCAATTGTTTTCAGTATTTTTAATTTACTTTTATTCACCTATTTTTCCTCTTTTCTCATCTTATAACTCTGTTTTATTTTCTGAGTGCTGGCTAGCATTTAAAAATATTTTAAAATACATTTTAATCTATTTTCAAAAATTATGTTGTTTCACAGATACTTTAAGAAACTTAAAACAGAATACTTCCATTTTTCTTCTTCTTTTCTTTGAGCAATTTCTGTAATATTTTTGAATTTAATGTTCTCTGGTAATCCTATAATATGTAATCATTTTGGTTTATTCAATTTTCTCTTATTTATTCAGAAATTTGCCAGCTCTAGTGCTATTCATTTTTAAAAATTCATATAAAATTATATTTCATTAAACTAAAGCATTTTTAAAAGATTTTCATATAGTATAAGTCTATTGTCAAGACAAAGAATTCTCAGTTTTCTTTGTCTATTGTCAATGTGTGAAATACAATTGTTTCATATATTCTGGAATGTATGAAAAGTCCAATATTCTAGTGATTATTATTATAGACTGTCAGAGATTGAATTGTCCCCCATCCCTGAACTCATACATTGAAGCCCTGACCCCCAATATAGCTATATTTGAAAGATGGTTTTTAAGGAGGTAATTAAGGTTAAATGAGGTCATAGATTGGGACTAGTGTCCTTATAAAAAGAAGAGAAAACAGGGCTCTTTTTGTCCCCTCACTTAGTGTGGGCACACACGGAAGAAAGGCCATGTGAGGACAATGCAAGAAGGTGACCATCTGCAGGGCAAGGAGAGAGGCCTCCTCAGAAAGCAACCTGCCTGACACCTCGATCTTGGACTTCTACTCTTCAGAACTATAAAAAAATAAAATTTGGTCGAATAAGCCACCCAATCATGCACTGTGTTGTGGCAACCTGAACGGACAAAAACAGCTACAGTGGTAGAGGCAATCAGTTACCATTTATTCCATCCGGTTGAAATTACGTCTTATTGTTCTTTTGCTCCTCCCACCCTCAATTGTCAGTAGGGTAAATTTCTGATATTTGTCTAGATCTTCTTAAGAAACAGTCCCTTAATGTGTGATCTCTGACTTGTTTTAGGTTTGGTAATTCAGTTATTTTTTTTTTAGAGACTAGGTCTTTCTCTGTCACTTAGGCTGGAGTGTATGGGCACAATCATAGCTCACTGTTAGTTAAAGTTCTAGTGATCAAATTAGATTTCAACAAACAAAATTGCTGATTCATCTACAGAGGAACAGAAAATATTATTAAAAATAAGAAATAAAAGGTGCTATTGCATATTCTTGGGTTTGAATGGCAAATATTTGCAGTATTTTCAGTGAAACGACTCAATGAAAGTATCGCAAAACTAAATCTTAAAAGACCAACTAAATGGGCTTATGTCTGAAAAAAAATCTGTCTATAAAAATGCACTTCACTTAAAAAATCAAGGAAAACAAAAGTAGTTAAAAACATGCTTTACCATTGACACCAAATTAGAAAAAAACATATATAATGTATAGTCACACACCAATACTGCCTGAGGTGGAGGAAAAGAGAATTTTCTCAGTAAAGGGGTTATAATCTTAAAGAAAAGAGTAGAAAGATTTGAAGATCTGTTTTTCATCTCTTATACTCCTACACTGCTCCTGTCAACTTTATCTCCAAGAATGTCAGTTCTTTCTCTTTCCCTCAATTAAAACCTGATCACAAACTTAGAAAACAGGCAGAAGAACAGAAACCACAAAAGCTACCATCATTTAAAATAGAAAAAGTAAATCTTATTTTAAGAAAATGAGAGAGAAGAGAGAGGGATTTATTGACATGGGACATTTTTTTCACTACAAGAAACACACAGGTCATAAGATGTTTTTAAGTCACGCCTCCTGCCTGACAATTTTAGAAAAGATAGGGGGAAAAACTGCCTTGATTTACATTATCTGATTGCATCATTATGTTTCATAAAACATGCATGATCTGTTATAGATTCCATTATGTGTGTTTAAAATACAATTTCAAATTCTATTGTGTTAAATGGTTAGATCATTGCAGTATTCTAGAAATAATGGCAGATACACTTTCTTTATAGAGCAGTAAACATTAAGAGGTAATTCACATAAGTGTGAAGACTAAATTAAAGAATCAGTAGTGGATGCTGTAAATTACTCTGGAAAATGAAAAAAAAAAGTAAGCATAAGTTTACATTTATTATTTTCTTGCACCAATGATTCATTTATAATTGAGCTAATAATTTAAATTCTGGTTTCTGATTTGATTTGAAAGAATGAGAACTTTCCTAAGCAATTCGTTTGCAAAATTATAATATGATTTATTCAAAATTACATTCCTTCTCTCCACCAATATTCTTTCTTTATAGAGAATATGGTAATATATTGTCTGCAATGAATATGCAAGTTAGACCTCACTAAATGCGGCCATCTTTGCTTTTCTTTCCTCCTCTTGTTTAATTTCTTGCAAGTTGTAGAACCTGAACAAGACTTTTTGGAAATAGTGGATTGCGCTGGATGTAAAATAAGTCAGTGAAATTTTATAAAATAGTTTCTCCTCTTGTAAGATGAAACTTTGGCCACTGTTTGAAATATAGCACAAAAATTATTTCATGACCCCTATTTTAAAGTAAAAGAAAAATAGCCTGTATTATTTATATTATTCCCATGCAACAGATTAAATTCAAATATTGACTTTCTTTTATGTAAAACAAGAAAGTAAAATAAACCATCTATTTTCTACATTTAACAGTGATTTATTCATTTCAGATGTGGAAGCTCTATAGAAAAATATTATACTGGTATACGTTGTTTTTTTTTTAAATTGTCCTCTTATTTTGAACACAAACTATAAGTCTCTAAAAAGAACACTCACTCTAGAAATAGAACTTTTCACTTTCTTTGTCTGTTTGTTCTTATATTCAGTTTTGACCCTGTGGGATAGGCACGGTGCACTGAAAGAAGACCAGGCACAACCAATGATACTGAAATTAGAAATAAGCACTAGAGTTAGCATGATACAGGAGCTCTGCATGGCGCAGGGACATTCCCCATGCTCATGACATGACACTTACTTGCCTTCCATTCCTGTTTATTGCATAAGCCTTTAGAGTACAGTCAACTAAAGGAATAAATCAAGAAGTGGGTCAGGAAGTCCCACTGAATACACATCTACAACATATCCCATATTGCTCTACTTCTCTTAGTCTTCACCAAAACCTCCTTAGTTCACTGCCATGTTCTTAATGTTTGTGTCACCCCAAAATTCACATGTTAAAATCCTAAACCCCCAGGTGATGGTATTAGGAGGTGGGGCCTTTGGGAAATGATTAGGTCATGGAGGGCAGAGCCCTCATGAATTAAAATAGTGCCCTTATAAAAGAGGCCCCAGAGAGAGCCCTAAGCCATTGCAACATTTGAAGTCAGAGTGAGAAGACAGCTGTTTATGAGGAAGGAGGCACCTAATCTGCAGGCACTGTGATCCTGGATTTCTCAGCCTCTAGAACTGTAAGAATAAATTTCTGTTGTTTGTAAGTCACTCAGTCTATGTATTCGTTATAGCAGCCTGAAAGGCTTAAGAAAGCCATAACATGATTAATCGTCTGCATAGCTTCTAAAGTTGTCTTTCTGTTCTCTACCTCATTCAAATATTTTCTATATAGAAACTAAAGTAACCATTTAAAAAATAATTCAGGCTATGTGTCTTCCTTGCCTAAAATTTTCCGCTGTCACTAATTAACTCAGAATAACAGCTGAACATTTTCCTGAGGGTACAAGGATCTATATAACTCGATTTCCATCTAACTTTTCAAGTTTATCTTGAACCCCTCTTCTCTTTGCTCATTACTCTGCAGCCATCTCAGCCTTTTTCTTGTCTCCCAAGTATTGCAGTCTTCTTTACATAGTGGGCCTTGAACTTGCTCTTCGTTCTGCCTGCAATATCAATGCTTAGACTGTTGCATGCCTGGCTCCCTCTCTTTTCAGGTGTCAGAACAGTTGTTCCACCCTCAGCAAGGCTTTCTCTGGAAAAACTCAAACCTTAGACATTCTACTGTATCACCCTCTTCTTTTTTCCCAGAGTACTTACAAATCTCTAGTAATGATTCCATCATTTTTCATATGATTATGTCTTTATTATCCCAAGAGAGTATAAATTTCATCAGATGAGACTTTTTTCTTTCTGACTACTAGTCAGAAAGAAATAGTAGTAGTCCTTAGCTTATTACAATGTCTATGACACAGTAGGTGCTCAATAAATGTAGAATGAAATATTAATGAAAACAGAGTTATTTCTTTGTTTTGTTCTTGATTTTTTTTTTTTTTTTTTTTGCCTCCATGTGGTAAGGGAACCAGTTACAAGGATCCTTTTCTTAGTGGTTTTATGCTTGTTCTTAACAATAGCTTAGCTATTTATTTGTGAATGTGGTGGTAGATTCTCCAGGAGAGACAGTGAGCTAATTCAATGACAAAAACCCAAGCATAGAAATAAGACCTACTTCCTGCCAACGTAGAAACAAAAATTGAGTCATCTGAGAAACTCAGTCAATGACACAATATAGTGTTTAAGATAAAATAACTCCTCAGGATGTAAGAGTATATTAAATTGCTTTGTCCACGAGTTGACCAGAGATACAGATTTCAGCAAAGCAGATCATTTGGGGTGTACAGGGATTATCTTCAAGGAAGGGGGAGTGATACAGGGAAGGGAAAGCAACCAATGAAGAGCAAACTTTTAAGCCAGCTAAAACAACAGGAAAACAGATTACTCTCACAGTGGACTGTGAAGCTTTATGTAAAACATTTCAGAAATATCTTTCCAAGAGAGGTAAGGGAACTAGGGTATTCATTCTTAGTGGTTAAAGGCTACTTCTGGGAAGTTGACTTTCAGGTATTAAAAACTTTGCTATGTGGGAAGCAGAGTGGTTTTACAGGGATCCTGGATTGGGGTGGGGGCAGAGAGAAGAGAAGACCTTAGATATAGATGCAGATAACATCCATAGTTGGAGGACATAGAAAGGTCTGAAGAATATGGGCAGAGTATGACTAGGTTTGTAAGAAGCACAAAGAACAGCATACAGAGTTAGAGCTGAGTTCACCTTGTGGTTGTTCCAAAGGCTGGCTAGGGGATAGTTCTGTTTGCAGTGACTTCATGCCCCAGTGTCAATGATGAACTGGGATGAGGATTTCTCTTCTCAGCCCTGGGGAAACCAGTCTCAGTCACCCTGAAAGGACTCCTTATGTCTTTGGAGAGTCATAGTGCCCTAATAGGTACCATTTTTAAGAAATTACCATACCATTCACACCTTTGGGAGCCAACACTTGTGTCCTATGCACCCAAAGGAAATTACTAGCTTGATCACATCATTAGTTGAAGAGACCTTGTCCAGTTAGTGACCCTTTTATACCCTTCACACAAGTGTGTTGTCGGTGGTGAGTGGGAGGGAGTGGCGTCCAGCGGCTTTTTTGCTCCTGCAGTTCATTGAGAGTGAGAAAGGATTACAGCTCTTTTACTCCCACCCCCTGCATCTCGGCAAGTTCTGGGTTCTTGTCCTACAAACAAGAGTAATAAGATATTTGGACACTGGAGAGTGAGTGAGGCAGTAAAGAACTTTATTGAGCAACAGAAAAAAAGCTCTCAGCTGTAAGAGGGGACCCTGAAAGTGGGTAGCCATCTGTGAAGTTGAGTCCAGGGTTTCTATGAACTTCGAATGGGATTGCTCCATAGGTGCTCTTGGAAAAAACACCATTCAACTGGTTAAAAAGCATCATTCTGAAGGAACCAATTGAGAAAGAAAGTGGGTAAGATGGGGATGGAAGTTCTCTCTCTGGTCGTGGACTCTATCTGGAACTGGCATTTCAGTTTTCAGGCTTTAAACTGTCCTTGGCTTGAAGGTCAGGTTTCACCAGGAACCCATCTCTGTCTGCCTAGGAATTTGCCTGTCTCCTGTCACTATTGCAGTGATTGGGATAGATACATCTCTGTTCTAACTTCAATGTTTTCCTTTTATAACAACAGTTCCAAGTTTTTATCTAAATTGATTATTTTTTGATTACTATTTTTTTATCATATATCTTTATTAACTTAGTTTAACATGTATTTATTGATTTATATAATGATTTTTGTTTCATTTTCAGTGGCTTGAAACCAATAAATAGAACATTAATGAAGAATATGAGATGAAGCAAGTTCCAGCACCATCACAGGCAACCAAAATCCTCGTGTAGGAGTTTGATAGGTGGCAGATTCTGAAAGCTGAGATAATGTTTGTGCTCGAAGTATATCCCAAACGACTGCAGAAAAGTAAAATTTATTTAAGGAAAGCCTAAAATACTACAAATTTTAGCAGTTTTGAGATAATTTGCCTATGTAAGCTGATATGAAATTAATCCATTATTCAAGGTTTGAGAGACTGCTTTTGTTTTTCCTTTTAACAACTATCACTGGATGTTTATTTGAAAGTGGAGACAAACGATTCTTTCTCTTAGACTACCCTAAAAGATTTGTAATTGTACTAGCAAATTGAATGTAAGATTATTTTTGCCAATTTGCATAGGCAGTGACATCCTTAAGGAAATCCCACTTCTTTTCACGAGTGGAAAAATGTATTTAAGTAGGTTTTTCTACATTAGAGAATACCGCTGGTAGTTTCTAAATATCTAACTAGATTAAAACAAAAACATAATTCCCTGTGATAGCAAACTTTTTGTTTATTTAATAATTTCAATTGTAAACAAATGAAATCACAGTCTGCTTTGGTGGGGTTTAAGACATCATACATAAAGGAGGCATATTTGTATATATATTTTGAACTGAATTGAGGAATTACTTCATACTCTGAAGAAGTATTAATACTTCAAAATTTAACCTCAGCACTCCATTGAGCATTACAATTTTTCAGTCTCAGTAAAAAAATGCAACAAGGAAATTGTATATGCCTACAGCAAAATTTTGAAGTTCTCACTAGACGCCTGCTTTTCAGGAAGTTTGCAGGTTGCTGAGTGGGAGGCTGAGAGACATAAATATCTTTTGGCCACTCAGGTGCTCCCTTGCAGGCTCTGAACCTCTGGGATCCAACAATTAACTCACACATAGAGAAACTGAAGACTTGAGGTATAGCCGTCGCCCTGGCCAGAGGCCCACCTCCCAAATCCTCCTGTTATTCTAACTATCTCTATGATATAAAGGGACCATGTAGTGCCTCACATGCTTACTGCTCTCTATAAGCACGGGAGACAAAGTGCAGGAAGCTATACACATGTGCAGAAGGGGTGTAGAGTGAAGATTTAAAAAAAGAGAGACAGTAGAATAGTTGTTCACATTATTGTCATCCCTTGGTGATTTAGTGGGAAACTTTCAAAACATATATGTTTCAAAACATATATTAACTTCAGACATTAACATATGGTTTTAATGAGGACCACAAGCTTGTTTTGTATATTTTATACACAATTCACTTTCAGCCTTTCCCACTAATATGACTGCTTATATATATGAAGGTAAAATCTCACATATATATGTCTCACATGTACATACATGTCTATATGAATATAGATATATAATATGTTATGTATTACACATAGACATGGCATTGTGAATGATTCTAATTTGATATTTAGACAGCACACTTATAAATACATATATGAAGAGATTTTCTCTATTAGTAAACTCTTATTAGTGAAAAATTACTTAACATAGGAAAGTAAATGTAAAGAACACAAATGAAAACTGGGGAAATACCTTAAAAGCTTTCTTAGTAGATTATATATATATGTGTGTGTATATATATACATATGTAAACATAGGAAAGACTCACTGAGGTATTAATTGATAGATGTAAAGTAGATGTGATTGATTCAACAAAAAATAACTTAATGCTCTCTATGCTCCAGCCATCATGTCATCATGTTTTAGTTTGAGTAGTTTGTCCTTTAATTGAAAAGGCAGATGATTAAATAATTAACTAAATTACTATATAATTTGTATTATAGTAAATGTAGGAATTAAGTATACATATTTGAAACAAGTCTATGGATGTCCTCACTGAAAAGGGGACATTTGACCATGGAGACACCTGAATATTTTCCAAACAAAACTCACAGATATCTGCATAGTCAAATTCCTGTTGTTTTCATGAAACATCAAGGAACCCTTGGGTAAAGGAGAAGGCAAGTAGTGGGAGAAGAAATAAGAGAAGGCCATGGAGTGAAGGACTCATACATATATGGACTTCTGTGCCATCAACACAACTAGGCACTTATTATACTTCCAGCATACCGGGGAGTTGAGGGCTTTTTCAGAAAAGTGGTCTGAAGTTCTCTTCTGCTAGCTTCTGTTTTCTCTGTGAAATGAAAGGAGATTTATTAGGTAAGAATGAGGATGGAGGTGCTAAAAGTTTAGGGAGAGAAGGAAAGGTGTAAAGCAATTGTCTAGTAGCATGAGAAGTAAACTAGGGAAAGCTAATCGTGTTGATTGTAGTAATAAAGGGCTACCAGAAATGTTATTTAGTAATTTAAAGTAAATCTAGCCAGCGTGAATAAAGGGAAAACCATTCAGGTGCAGAGTAGAATGTTTAACTTAGATTGTTTTGTTTTCGGTCTTTATCGTCTCTCAGGCAAATATGATAAACCCAGAGGTGAGCAAAATATTGAGAAAGTGCAAATGGGTGACTGTATTGATGGGCTGGGATCTAATCTGGTTAAGGCAGGAATGAGAATTTCAGTATTCTCTGGTTTGTAGGAAAACACACTGATATTTTCTTCTAAACATAGCAACATGGAATAAATATCCCATGCAATATATCTCACAAAGACTCAGGTATTATATAAGAATTACACTTTTGAAGAAATCCAAAAAATATTTAAGTACTTATACTTATTTTCAAGTGAAGTTATAAAACCAGCAGTTTGTTTGTCATACTGTAGAAAGCTTGTTGAGTATATCCAGTGGTATCAAAGGAACTTTTATTAATAAATCTCTGAGTGAACAGATGTATTTTTCTTGAGGATTCAGAGACGTTTCATCAACATGTTTCCCAACAAAAATTTGATATGTAACACTTCCATCAAAAAGTTTTTCTATCTGGTTTGACATTTCTTTTATATTTCTGGTATTCTCCTGTATATTTAGACTCTACTTGTGTACACAGAACCTATTTTATTTTAAGTCTCTACTCAGATTCTCTCTTTGTTCCTTTCTTCTATGGAGCCAAGTTAAGTTTGGAGTATCTACTGACATCGAGGCAAATAGCACTTGCCTAACTGCAAAAGCAGGCCTGAATCTGAAACAATAGGTTCTAGAATTGTGGTAAAACATAAAAAATCAGCAGAAATTTAAAAATTTTATGCCAGATTTTGAGGCATTATTATGAATAGCTGAATATATGCTTTATTAAGAAGTTAGTAAAGTACCCCCAAAAGATTAGGAGCAGTATTTATTATTGTTAAATATTTTGTTTCATTACTGTAACAGTTGATGGGGCCTTTTTTCCTCTTAAATTTCCTCCACTATCCTTTATTCACCATATACTTTCAAACCATATTCACATGCAGAAGGTAAAATAAGTACTTTGATATAACTCCATAATTTACCAATTACAGGTTAACTTGGTTATCAGAAAGGTTTAACTTAGTGCTTTTACATTTACATTTTTTTCATACTGCAGATTGATCCATGGTGATTTTCTGTCTCATTTACTTACTTCCATGTGTACTTTTTCAGTTTCAGTTTGAAACTGCATTTTGCCAACACATAAATGAGTGTATGCTTGTTATATTTTTCGTGGTGGCCCTTGACATTTCTTATACCTCGTTTCCTTAGAATATTTTTGTTGTTGTCTTTCTGCTCAGAGAATCTCTATTTAAACCAACACAAATGCCCAACAACGATACACTGGATTAAGAAAACATGGCACATATACACCATGGAATACTATGCAGCCATAAAAAATGAAGAGTTCACGTCCTTTGTAGGGACATGGATGAAACTGGGAACCATCATTTTCAGCAAACTATCGCAAGGACAAAAACCCAAACACTGCATGTTCTCACTCATAAGTGGGAATTGAACAATGAGAACACATGGACACAGGAAGGGGAACATCACACTCTGGGGACTGTTGTGGGAGGGGGGAGGGGGGAGGGATAGCATTAGGAGATATACCTAATGCTAAATGACGAGTTAATGGGTGCAGCACACCAACATGGCCGATGTATACATATGTAACAAACCTGCACATTGTGCACATGCACCCTAAAACTTAAAGTATAATAATAATTACAATAATAATAATAAAACATAAATGATGGAAAATGTATTTTGGTCAATTACATACTCTCTTCTAGACTCATGACAAATCTTCCTCAAATCACAATACTCTTGGACCCTCTGTTTGTCCAAATATCTTCACTTTCCCCTTTCCAAACTTACCAGTAGAATGACTTTTGCTTGTACATCGTATTTCCAATGATCAATTGATGGCTAGATTGTAGGCGGGGTCGGGGGAACCAAAATTATTAGTCTTCTATTTTATATAAATTATTTCAATACATAACAAATAATTGCCAATTAATTTTTTCCAATTGCCAGTTGTCAATACAAAACAAAGAAGTATTGCCTTAAAACTGAGTTTATATTCACTAAAATAAGAAGCAAATTAAAAAGGCAAATTAAACATATTATCAACTAGGAATTAAATATATAATCATTGCCTATTTTAACTTAAATAGGCACATTTGAGTAATTTCCCTCCTTTCCTTCCTTCCTTCTCTCTACCTTTCTCCTTTCCCTCCCTCCCTCCCTTCTTTTCTTTCTTTCTTTCTCTTACTTTCTTTCTTTCTCCTTCCTTCCTTCCTGCCTTCCTTCCTTCCTTCCTTCTCTTTCTCTCTCTCTTTCTCCCTTTCTGCCTTCCTTCTTTTCTTTATCTTTCTCACTACCTTTCTATATCTTTTTCTTCTCAATATGTATGTATGTATGTATTTATCTATCTATCTATTCCTATTCGTAAATAATATATTTGTGTTTTGAAATATGTAAAAACATGTCATTGTTTGGCAAATCAGTTTGGGACAATTTTCTTACAAATTGTATCACTTTAACATAAATTTAGCTGATTTCAAGCCTAATTATTTTTTTCTAAATGTATGTGAGGTTATCAAATTTAATTTGCCCAGCTGAAAGAATAGAAAGATTTGTGTGTCATAATTTAAACACATAGGCTGCACTGAATAGCAAAATTGCCATAAAACTGCTTTCAATATTGTACATTTTTGCATGTCACATTGAGACCAAAAGAAAAGTTCCTTCTATCATGAAATAACCTAGGTACAAAATATGTAGTTTTACTTCCTTAAATATAAAAATCATAATAGTTATTGAGAGTATCAGGGTCATGGAAAAAAGTTATCCGTAGAAAACAAATTAAATAATTTTTGAATATTGATTATTTAATTGCAATAGGCTAGTTGGGTGCTTTATTTTCCTTCTTTGGTGTACTTCCGTTTCACTGCTCAGCCATTCAGTTAATAAGGCAATGAAGTAGTTTCAAAGTAAAGCAAACCTTGATGTGCTGCCATTAGTTTGCAGCTCTATGCAATTTCATTGGTACAATGTTAAGCACTTGATTGATGTGCTCCTATGTCACTCTCTATTCCCTGCTGCTGCTTCAATCTTCTTATCACGCTTGTCATCACTTGAGAGATGCATTTGTTGGTTCATTTTTCTGAGTGACACACGACTTTAGAAGGTCCATGAGGAAAGATAATTTGTCTTTTTTGTTTACCATTTTATCCCCAGTGCCTATAGTGACTGACATATAGTAGGTGCTCAAAAAATATTTAAGTAATTGCCTACATACTGAAAGAAATATGGCCAATTTTCAAGTCACGAAAGTTTTAAAATAGGTCATCAAAAGGATCACATCATCTTTACATTAATATTTCCAAAAAAGTTTTCACCTTTTGGGTCATAAGTATTTAAAACCTCTTTGCAGAATAAATGTCTCCATTAATCCATGTTTTTCACATATTTTCTATGCAATAATGATTTTTGTTAACTCAATAAATTGCATGTCAGTTCCATAATGAATTCACATTTGTATGCTCTCAAGCTGCATAAGCCTGTATGAATTCCAAACTGCTGCCAATATGCTTTGCAAAGTCCTTTTTAGTGAGCTAAGTACTTTCTACTAGTAAGCTGTCTAATGCATTATTTTGTGTTATTTGAATTTGAGTGATCCCTAACTTTCCATAAATTTTGTACCAGTTGGCAATGAACTAAATTCCTATAAAATTATTTGTATATCAACTGGCATAATTGTATTATTATAATTTGATCCACTATTGCCATAAAATATAGTACTGGACTTGAGGCATAACAGATATAATTATATTAAAATTAAAGCATATGCACTTAAATTGTCATTAAAAAAAAAATGGCCATTCCCTGTGAAGCACTTTTGATTGTTAGACTGGCAAAAATAGCAATGCAGATAAAGGTATTTTAATGCAAATGAGATCCGCATATTCAAAGATTCAACTTTCTAAAGTAAAGAATTGCACAGAGTAATCTTCACAATGGAAGTGACTTGAAGATTTTAGCTTTTGTCTGTACGTATAAAGGAAAAATGTCATTTTATTATAGCAAAAATTTCTTTTACTCAAACTTTTAGAAACTTAAGTTGTACATATGGTACATATATTTCTTAACATTAAATACTTTGACAAAACTATCCAACCTTCCCATATATATTTCTTAACTTTTTGATTCCACATTTATAGCATGTGAAAAATAAAAGTTTTAATTTTATCACATACAGATACCACATGCCTCCTTCAACAATAAGCAGTAAGTAGCACTGAAAGCACTTCCCACTCCATCCCACTAAACTATTTTATTAAATTATTGTATAGGTGTGATACAGATTTTGGGTGACATTTCCATTTAGAATTGAAAATATCAAAAATTACCTCAACGCTTGCAGTTTTTGAAAATTTTTGTGTTTTCTCAGCATTCTAAGCTTCTCCATATTTATTATCTCTTTTTTTCCCAAACTCCATCACAAACCACATCCAGCAAATTACTTATTTTATTATTTGTTTTTGGTAAATTAAAATTCCTTATTTTCCTACCATCAAATCTAATTACACACATGCATCCGCATATACTTCTTGTTCTCCCTTCTCTTAAAATAAAGACAATTACCTTCTTCTCAAAAGCCATTCCCACACAGGTGATCATCATTCTAGATGTCATCCCACTGTCTTTCCAAAGGAACTTGCTCCTCTATTAGTCCTGATTTTTCCCACATAATCAGTTCTCACAATTTATGAAGTAATTTCTTTTTTTAATTTTTTAAAATTTTATTTTTGTTATACATTGACAAATTATAGTTACATATATTTATGAGGTTCAAAGTGGTGTAAGACTTTTTAATACAATGTGGAATGATTAAGTTAAGCTAGTTAGCATATCCATCACCTCAATATTTAACATCTTTTGTGACCAGAACATTAGAGATTTACTGTTGGTGATATTGAAATGTATATAACAAATTTTTTTATTATACTTTCAGTTATAGGGTACATGGGCACAGCGTGCAGGTTTGTTACATATGTATACATGTGCCATGTTGGTGTGCTGCACCCATTAACCCGTCATTTACATTAAGTATATCTCCTAATGCTATCCCTCCCCCCTCTCCCCACCCCATAAGAGGCCCCAGTGTGTGATGTTCCCCTTCCTGTGTCCAAGTGTTCTCATTGTTCTATTCCCTCCTATGAGTGAGAACATGCAGTGTTTGGTTTTCTGTTCTTGCGATAGTTTGCTGAGAATGATGGTTTCCAGCTTTATCCATGTCCCTACAAAGGACATGAACTCATTCTTTTTTATAACTGTATAATATTCCATGGTGTATATGTGCCACATTTTCTTAATCCAGTCTATCATTGATGGACATTTGGGTTGGTTCCAAGTCTTTGCTATTGTGAATAGTGCCGCAATAAACATACGGGTGCATGTTTCTTTATAGCAGCATGATTTATAATCCTTTGGGTATATACCCATTGATAGGATTGCTGAGTCAAGTGGTATTTCTGGTTCTACATACTTGAGGAATCACCACACTGACTTCCACAATGGTTGAACTAGTATACAGTCCCACCAACAGTGTAAAAGTGTTCCTATTTCTCCACATCCTCTCCAGCACCTGTTGTTTCCTGACTTTTTAATGATCGCCATTCTAATTGGTGTGAGATGACATCTCATTGTGGTTTTGATTTGCATTTCTCTGATGGCCAGTGATCATGAGCATTTTTTCATGTGTTTTTTGGCTGCATAAATGTCTTCTTTTGAGAAATGTCTGCTCATATCCTTCACCCACTTTTCGATGGGGTTGTTTGATTTTTTCTTGTAAATTTGTTTAAGTCCTTTGTAGATTCTGGATATTAGCCCTTTGTCAGATGGGTAGATTGTAAAAATTTTCTCCCATTCTGTAGGTTGCCTGTTCACTCTGAGGGTAGTTTCTTTTGCTGTGCAGAAGCTCTTTAGTTTAATTACATCCCATTTGTCAATTTTGACTTTTGTTGCCATTGCTTTTGGTGTTTTAGACACGAAGTCTTTGCCCATGCCTATGTCCTGAATGGTATTGCCTAGATTTTCTTCTCAGGTTTTTATGGTTTTAGGTCTAACATGTAAGTCTTTAATCCATCTTGAATTAATTTTTGTATGAGGTGTAAGGAAGGGATCCAGTTTCAGCTTTCTACATATGGCTAGCCAGTTTTCCCAGCACCATTTATTAAATAGGGAGTCGTTTCCCCATTTCTTGTTTTTGTCTGGTTTATCAAAGATCAGATGGTTGTAGATCTGTGGTATTATTTCTGAGAGCTCTGTTCTGTTCTATTGGTCTATATCTCTGTTTTGGTACCAGTACCATGCTGTTTTGGTTACTGTAGCCTTGTATTATAGTTTGAAGTCAGGTAGTGTGATGCCTCCAGCTTTGTTCTTTTTGCTTAGGATTGTCTTGGCATTGTGGGCTCTTTTTTGGTTCCATGTGAACTTTAAAGTAGTTTTTTCCAATTCTGTGAAGAAAGTCATTGGTAGCTCGATGGGGATGGCACTGAATCTATAAATTACCTTGGGCAGTATGGCCATTTTCACGATACTGATTACTCCTATCCATGAGCATGGAATGTTCTTCCATTTGTTTGTGTCCTCTTTTATTTTGTTGAGCAGTAGTTTGTAGTTGTCCTTGAAGAGATCCTTCACATCCCTTGTAAGTTGGATTCCTAGGTATTTTATTCTCTTTGAAGCAATTGTGAATGGGAGTTCACTCATGATTTGGCTCTCTGCTTGCCTGTTATTGGTGTATAGGAATGCTTGTGATTTTTGCCTATTGATTTTGTATCCTGAGACTTTGCTGAAGTTGCTTATCAGCTTAAGGAGATTTTGGGCTGAGATGATGGGGTTTTCTAAATATACAATCATGTCATCTGCAAACAGGGACAATTTGACTTCCTCTTTTCCTAATTGAATACCCTTTATTTATTTCTCCTGCCTGATTGCCCTGGGCAGAACTTCCAACACTATGTTGAGTAGGAGTGATGAGAGAGGGCATCCCTGTCTTGTGCCAGTTTTCAAAGGGAATGCTTCCAGTTTTTGCCCATTCAGTATGCTATTGGCTGTGGGTTTGTCACAAATAGCTCTTATTATTTTGAGATACATCCCATCAATACCTACGTTATTGAAAGTTTTTAGCATGAAGGGCTGTTGAATGTTGTCAAAGACCTTTTCTGCATCTATTGAGATAATCAGGTGGTTTTTGTCTTTGGCTTTGTTTATGTGATGGATTACATTCATTGATTTGTGTATGTTGAACCAGCCTTGCATTCCAGTGATGAAGCCAACTTGATTGTGGTGTATCAGCTTTTAATGTGCTGTTGCATTCTGCTTGCCAATATTTTACTGAGAATTTTTGCATCGATGTTCATCAGGGATATTGGTCTAAAATTCTCTTTTTTTTGTTGTGTCTCTGCCAGGCTTTGGTATCAGGATGATGCTGGCCTCATAAAATGAGTTAGGGAGGATTCCCTCTTCTTCTATTGATTGGAATAGTTTCAGAAGGAATGATACTAGCTCTTCTTTGTACCTCTGGTAGAATTCGGCTGTGAATCCCTCTGTTCCTGGACTTTTTTTCGTTGGTAGGCTATTAATTATTGCCTCAATTTCAGAGCTTGTTATTGGTCTACTCAGGGATTCAACTTCTTCCTGGTTTAGTCTTTGGAGGGTGTATGTGTTTAGGAATTTATCCGTTTCTTCTAGATTTTCTAGTTTATTTGCATAGAGGTATTTATAGTATTCTCTGATGGTAGTTTGTATTTCTGTGGGATTGGTGGTGATATCCGCATTATCATTTTTTATTGCATCTATTTGATTCTTCTCTGTTTTCTTCTTTATTAGTCTTGCTAGCAATCTATCAATTTTGTTGATCTTTTCAAAAAACCAGCTCCTCGTTTCATTGATTTTTTGAAGGGTTTTTTTGTGTCTCTATCTCCTTCAGTTCTGCTCTGATCTTAGTTATTTCTTGCCTTCTGCTAGCATTTGAATGTGTTTGCTCTTGTTTCTCTAGTTCTTTTAATTGTGATGTTAGGGTGTCAATTTTAGATCTTTCCTGCTTTCTCTTGTGGATATTTAGTGCTATAAATTTCCCTCTACACACTGCTTTAAATGTGTCCCTGAGATTCTGGTATGTTGTGTCTTTGTTCTCATTGCTTTCAAAGAACATCTTTATTTCTGCCTTCATTTCGTTATGCACCCAGTAGTCATTCAGGAGCAGGTTATTCAGTTTCCATGCAGTTATGTGGTTTTGAGTGAGTTTCTTAGTCCTGAGTTTTAGTTTGATTGCACTGTCGTCTGAGAGACAGTTTGTTATAATTTCTGTTCTTTTACATTTGCTGAGGAGTGCTTTACTTCCAACTATGTGGTCAATTTTGGAATAAGTCTGATGTGGTGCTGAGAAGAATGTATATTCTGTTGATTTTGGGTGTAGAGTTCTGTAGATGTCTATTAGGTCCACTTGGTGCAGAGCTGAGTTCAATTCCTGGATATCCTTGTTAACTTCTGGTCTCTTTGATCTGTCTAATGTTGACAGTGGGTTGTTAAAGTCTCCCATTATTATTGTGTGGGAGTCTAAGTCTCTTTGTTGATCTCTAAGGACTTGCTGTTTGAATCTGGGTGTTCCTGTATTGGTTGCATACATATTTAGGATAGTTAGCTCTTCTTGTTGAATTGATCGAGTTACCATTATGTAATGGCCTTCTTTGTCTCTTTTGATCTTTGTTGGTTTAAAGTCTGTTTTATCAGAGACCAGGATTGCAACCTCTGCCTTTTTTTGTTTTCCATTTGCTTGGTAGATCTTCCTCCATCCCTTTATTTTGAGCCTATGTGTGTCTCTGCACGTGAGATGGATCTCCTGAATATAGCACACTGATGGGTCTTGACTCTATCCAATTTGCCAGTCTGTGCCTTTTAATTAGAGCATTTAGCCCATTTACATTTAAGGTTAATATTGTTATGTGTGAATTTGATCCTGTCATTATGTTAGCTGGTTATTTTGCTGGTTAGTTGATGCAGTTTCTTCCTAGCCTCGATGGTCTTTACAATTTGGCATGTTTTTGCAGTGGCTGCTACCAGTTGTTCCTTTCCATGTTTATTGCTTCCTTCAGGCAGTCTTGTAAGGCAGGCCTGGTGGTCACAAAATCTCTCAGCATTTGCTTCTCTATAAAGGATTTCATTTCTTCTTCACTTATGAAGCTTAGTTTGGCTGGATATGAAATTCTGGGTTGAAAATTCTTAAAGAATATTGAATATTGGCCCCCACTCTCTTCTGGCTTGTAGAGTTTCTGCCGAGAGATTCACTCTTTTTCTGATGGGCTTCCCTTTGTGGGTAACCCAACCTTTCTCTCTGGCTGCCCTTAACAATTTTTTCTTTAGAGTAGCACTGAAACACTAATTTTGATTTTTTGAAGGTGATCAGAGGAAAAACATAGATTTATTTTCTACCCCTTATAACCTGAATATTGAGGAAGGTGGCCTGGCTGATAGAAATTTAGACTCAAATGGTTTCCATACCAGATGGGCAGGTGTCTGGACTATGGGACAATTTATGAGTAATAGATCTTGGGAAAGTATGCACACTGGGTCTGTCCTCTAACCTGTATAGGCTAGGGACAGTACCAAAAATCTGTACAGATAGGAAAATACATTTTTAAAAGGCCTTATATACGATTATGTATACACATGGAGGTTAGTTATAGAGGTATACCCACACTTTAAGTATAGGAAATGGATATGGGAAGTTTCTTAAAAGTTGATGTATTGAATCTGTAAATTACCTTGGGCAGTATGGCCATTTTCACGATATTGATTCTTCCTACCCATGAGCATGGAATGTTCTTCCATTTGTTTGTGTCCTCTTTTATTTCCTTGAGCAGTGGTTTGTAGTTCTCCTTGAAGAGGTCCTTCACATCCCTTGTAAGTTGGATTCCTAGGTATTTTATTCTCTTTGAAGCAATTGTGAATGGGAGTTCACCCATGATTTGGCTCTCTGTTTGTCTGTTGTTGGTGTATAAGAATGCTTGTGATTTTTGTACATTGATTTAGTATCCTGAGACTTTGCTGAAGTTGCTTATCAGCTTAAGGAGATTTTGGGCTGAGACTATGGGGTTTTCTAGATAAACAATCATGTCGTCTGCAAACAGGGACAATTTGACTTCCTCTTTTCCTAATTGAATACCCTTTATTTCCTTCTCCTGCCTGATTGCCCTGGCCAGAACTTCCAACACTATGTTGAATAGGAGCG
Organism: Homo sapiens; assembly: GCF_000001405.40. Lineage (NCBI taxonomy): Eukaryota > Metazoa > Chordata > Mammalia > Primates > Hominidae > Homo > Homo sapiens. The sequence continues at coordinate 135,079,952 of NC_000004.12, forward strand.
GTGAGAGAGGGCATCCCTGTCTTGTGCCATTTTTCAAATGGAATGCTTCCAGTTTTTGCCCATTCAGTATGATATTGGCTGTGGGTTTGTCATAGATAGCTCTTATTATTTTGAAATACGTCCCATCAATACCTAATTTATTGAGAGTTTTTAGCATGAAGGGTTGTTGAATTTTGTCAAAGGCTTTTTCTGCATCTATTGAGATAATCATGTGGTTTTTGTCTTTGGCTCTGTTTATATGCTGGATTACATTTATTGATTTGTGTATATTGAACCAGCCTTGCATCCCAGGGATGAAGCCCACTTGATCATGGTGGATAAGCTTTTTGATGTGCTGCTGGATTCGGTTTGCCAGTATTTTATTGAGGATTTTTGCATCAATGTTCATCAAGGATATTGGTCTAAAATTCTCTTTTTTGGTTGTGTCTCTGCCCAGCTTTGGTATCAGAATGATGCTGGCCTCATAAAATGAGTTAGGGAGGGTTCCCTCTTTTTCTATTGATTGGAATAGTTTCAGAAGGAATGGTACCAGTTCCTCCTTGTACCTCTGGTAGAATTTGGCTGTGAATCCATCTGGTCCTGGACTCTTTTTGGTTGGTAAACTATTGATTATTGCCACAATTTCAGAGCCTGTTATTGGTCTATTCAGAGATTCAACTTCTTCCTAGTTTAGTCTTGGGAGAGTGTATGTGTCGAGGAATGTATCCATTTCTTCTAGATTTTCTAGTTTATTTGCGTAGAGGTGTTTGTAGTATTCTCTGATGGTAGTTTGTATTTCTGTGGGATCGGTGGTGATATCCCCTTTATCATTTTTTATTGTGTCTATTTGATTCTTCTCTCTTTTTTTCTTTATTAGTCTTGCTAGAGGTCTATCAATTTTGTTGATCCTTTCAAAAAACCAGCTCCTGGATTCATTGATTTTTTGAAGGGTTTTTTGTGTCTCTATTTCCTTCAGTTCTGCTCTGATTTTAGTTATTTCTTGCCTTCTGCTAGCTTTTGAATGTGTTTGCTCTTGCTTTTCTAGTTCTTTCAATTGTGATGTTAGGGTGTCAATTTTGGATCTTTCCTGCTTTCTCTTGTAGGCATTTAGTGCTATAAATTTCCCTCTACACACTGCTTTGAATGCGTCCCAGAGATTCTGGTATGTGGTGTCTTTGTTCTCGTTGGTTTCAAAGAACATCTTTATTTCTGCCTTCATTTCGTTATGTACCCAGTAGTCATTCAGGAGCAGGCTGTTCAGTTTCCATGTAGTTGAGCAGCTTTGAGTGAGATTCTTAATCCTGAGTTCTAGTTTGATTGCACTGTGGTCTGAGAGATAGTTTGTTATAATTTCTGTTCTTTTACATTTGCTGAGGAGAGCTTTACTTCCAACTATGTGGTCAATTTTGGAATAGGTGTGGTGTGGTGCTGAAAAAAATGTATATTCTGTTGATTTGGGGTGGAGAGTTCTGTAGATGTCTATTAGGTCTGCTTGGTGCAGAGCTGAGTTCAATTCCTGGGTATCCTTGTTGACTTTCTGTCTCGTTGATCTGTCTAATGTTGACAGTGGGGTGTTAAAGTCTCCCATTATTAATGTGTGGGAGTCTAAGTCTCTTTGTAGGTCACTGAGGACTTGCTTTATGAATCTGGGTGCTCCTGTATTGGGTGCATAAATATTTAGGATAGTTAGCTCCTCTTGTTGAATTGATCCCTTTACCATTATGTAATGGCCTTCTTTGTCTCTTTTGATCTTTGTTGGTTTAAAGTCTGTTTTATCAGAGACTAGGATTGCAACCCCTGCCTTTTTTTGTTTTCCATTTGCTTGGTAGATCTTCCTCCATCCTTTTATTTTGAGCCTATGTGTGTCTCTGCACGTGAGATGGGTTTCCTGAATACAGCACACTGATGGGTCTTGACTCTTTATCCAACTTGCCAGTCTGTGTCTTTTAATTGCAGAATTTAGTCCATTTATATTTAAAGTTAATATTGTTATGTGTGAATTTGATCCTGTCATTATGATGTTAGCTGGTGAATTTGCTCATTAGTTGATGCAGTTTCTTCCTAGTCTCGATGGTCTTTACATTTTGGCATGATTTTGCAGCGGCTGGTACTGGTTGTTCCTTTCCATGTTTAGCGCTTCCTTCAGGAGCTCTTTTAGGGCATGCCTGGTCGTGACAAAATCTCTCAGCATTTGCTTGTCTATAAAGTATTTTATTTCTCCTTCACTTATGAAGCTTAGTTTGGCTGGATATGAAATTCTGGGTTGAAAATTCTTTTCTTTAAGAATGTTGAATATTGGCCCCCACTCTCTTCTGGCTTGTAGGGTTTCTGCGAAGAGATCCGCTGTTAGTCTGATGGGCTTTCCTTTGAGGGTAACCCGACCTTTCTCTCTGGCTGCCCTTAACATTTTTTCCTTCATTTCAACTTTGGTGAATCTGACAATTATGTGTCTTGGAGTTGCTCTTCTCGAGGAGTATCTTTGTGGCGTTCTCTGTATTTCCTGAATCTGAACGTTGGCCTGCCTTGCTAGATTGGGGAAGTTCTCCTGGATAATATCCTGCAGAGTGTTTTCCAACTTGGTTCCATTCTCCACATCACTTTCAGGTACACCAATCAGACATAGATTTGGTCTTTTCACATAGTCCCATATTTCTTGGAGGCTTTGCTCATTTCTTTTTATTCTTTTTTCTCTAAACTTCCCTTCTCGCTTCATTTCATTCATTTCATCTTCCATTGCTGATACCCTTTCTTCCAGTTGATCGCATCGGCTCCTGAGGCTTCTGCATTCTTCACGTAGTTCTCGAGCCTTGGTTTTCAGCTCCATCAGCTCCTTTAAGCACTTCTCTGTATTGGTTATTCTAGTTATACATTCTTCTAAATTTTTTTCAAAGTTTTAAACTTCTTTGCCTTTGGTTTGAATGTCCTCCCGTAGCTCAGAGTAATTTGATCGTCTGAAGCCTTCTTCTCTCAGCTCGTCAAAATCATTCTCCATCCAGCTTTTTTCTGTTGCTGGTGAGGAACTGCGTTCCTTTGGAGGAGGAGAGGCGCTCTGCGTTTTAGAGTTTCCAGTTTTTCTGTTCTGTTTTTTCCCCATCTTTGTGGTTTTATCTACTTTTGGTCTTTGATGATGGTGATGTACAGATGGGTTTTCGGTGTAGATGTCCTTTCTGGTTGTTAGTTTTCCTTCTAACAGACAGGACCCTCAGCTGCAGGTCTGTTGGAATACCCTGCCGTGTGAGGTGTCAGTGTGCCCCTGCTGGGGGGTGCCTCCCAGTTAGGCTGCTCGGGGGTCAGGGGTCAGGGACCCACTTGAGGAGGCAGTCTGCCCGTTCTCAGATCTCCAGCTGCGTGCTGGGAGAACCACTGCTCTCTTCAAAGCTGTCAGACAGGGACACTTAAGTCTGCAGAGGTTACTGCTGTCTTTTTGTTTGTCTGTGTTCTGCCCCCAGAGGTGGAGCCTACAGAGGCAGGCAGGCCTCCTTGAGCTGTGGTGGGCTCCACCCAGCTGGAGCTTCCCAGCTGCTTTGTTTACCTAAGCAAGCCTGGGCAATGGTGGGCGCCCCTCCCCCAGCCTCGTTGCCGCCTTGCAGTTTGATCTCAGACTGCTGTGCTAGCAATCAGTGAGATTCCGTGGGCGTAGGACCCTCTGAGCCAGGTGTGGGATATAGTCTCGTGGTGCGCCGTTTCTTAAGCCGGTCTGAAAAGCACAATATTCGGGTGGGAGTGACCCGATTTTCCAGGTGCGTCCGTCACCCCTTTCTTTGACTCGGAAAGGGAACTCCCTGAACCCTTGCGCTTCCCAGGTGAGGCAATGCCTCTCCCTGCTTCGGCTCGCGCATGGTGCGCACACACACTGGCCTGAGCCCACTGTCTGGCACTCCCTAGTGAGATGAACCCGGTACCTCAGATGGAAATGCAGAATTGGAAAAAACTACTTTAAAGTTCATATGGAACCAAGAAAGAGCCCGCATTGCCAAGTCAATCCTAAGCCAAAAGAACAAAGCTGGAGGCATCACACTACCTGACTTCAAACTATACTACAAGGCTACAGTAACCAAAACAGCATGGTACTGGTACCAAAACAGAGATATAGATCAATGGAACAGAACAGAGACCTCAGAAATAATGCCGCATATCTACAACTATCTGATCTTTGACAAACCTGAGAAAAACAAGCAATGGGGAAAGGATTCCCTATTTAATAAATGGTGCTGGGAAAACTGGCTAGCCATATGTAGAAAGCTGAAACTGGATCCCTTCCTTACACCTTATACAAAAATCAATTCAAGATCGATTAAAGATTTAAACGTTAAACCTAAAACCATAAAAACCCTAGAAGAAGACCTAGGCATTACCATTCAGGACATAGGCGTGGGCAAGGACTTCATGTCCAAAACACCAAAAGCAATGGCAACAAAAGACAAAATTGACAAATGGGATCTAATTAAACTAAAGAGCTTCTGCACAGCAAAAGAAACTACCATCAGAGTGAACAGGCAACCTACAACATGGGAGAAAATTTTCGCAACCTACTCATCTGACAAAGGGCTAATATCCAGAATCTGCAAAGAACTCAAACAAATTTACAAGAAAAAACAAACAACCCCATCAAAAAGTGGGCGAAGGACATGAACAGACACTTCTCAAAAGAAGACATTTATGCAGCCAAAAAACACATGAAGAAATGCTCATCATCACTGGCCATCAGAGAAATGCAAATCAAAACCACTATGAGATATCATCTCACACCAGTTAGAATGGCAATCATTAAAAAGTCAGGAAACAACAGGTGCTGGAGAGGATGCGGAGAAATAGGAACACTTTTACACTGTTGGTGGGACTGTAAACTAGTTCAACCATTGTGGAAGTCAGTGTGGCGATTCCTCAGGGATCTAGAACTAGAAATACCATTTGACCCAGCCATCCCATTACTGGGTATATACCCAAATGAGTATAAATCATGCTGCTATAAAGACACATGCACACGTATGTTTTTTGCGGCACTATTCACAATAGCAAAGACTTGGAACCAACCCAAATGTCCAACAATGATAGACTGGATTAAGAAAATGTGGCACATATACACCATGGAATACTATGCAGCCATAAAAAATGATGAGTTCATATCCTTTGTAGGGACATGGATGAAATTGGAAACCATCATTCTCAGTAAACTATCGCAAGAACAAAAAACCAAACACCGCATATTCTCACTCATAGGTGGGAATTGAACAATGAGATCACATGGACACAGGAAGGGGAATATCACACTCTGGGACTGTGGTGGGGTCGGGGGAGGGGGGAGGGATAGCATTGGGAGATATACCTAATGCTAGATGACACATTAGTGGGTGCAGCGCACCAGCATGGCACATGTATACATATGTAACTAACCTGCACAATGTGCACATGTACCCTAAAACTTAGAGTATAATAAAAAAAAATAAAAAAAAATAAAAATAAAAAAAGTTGATGTAAGGTGTGAATCGGCAAGGAAGCTTAAATTAAATAAGAGAGATTAAGGCTTAGAATATTGTAGTCTATTAAAGATATATCCTGTCTATTCAGAGGTGAAGAAAAATTATGGCTAAGCAGCTGTTGAAATAGGGACTCAATAGAACATATTAGCCAAATGTATAATGACAAAATATTTGTCAGTGGTTGATTGGATTGAGCTAGTAATTTTAATAATATTTCTTATTGAGTTATGGAACCGTTAATGGATTCTATAAGCTACTGTGAGGCTCAATTTATTATTTATTTAATTTTAGGTTTCAGAACAGAAAACATTGAGCTATCAAACAGGGAAGGTTTGGGGATAATCATTCATTTATTCATTTTAGATCTCATTAACTTTTGATTTTTGAAGGCTTTATGTTAATTTATGTTAGGCCAAATTAACCATTTTTTTCTTGGGGATTTATGAGGTCTCATTTTGTTATGCCCATTTGTAAGTGTCCAATATTTAATTTAATTTTAATTTTTTATCCATTGTGTTAGTGTTTCTATGCCCAGTATAGGGTATTTTAGGACAATGGGTACTATAGAAAATTTAGGCAGGTTATAGTTAAAGTAAGGTTTACTTTACTGTTCATTGTCAGAAAATCAGAAAATACATAAAGATGTAAGTAAAATGTGAAAATTCTCTTTGACCCTAATACCTTAAAGATAATCATAGTTAACATTTTAGTTTAAACTTTTTATTGTTTGTAAATTCATACACAGGTAAAGGTATGTGTACATGTATGTCAGATATGTACATGTATGTTTAATACCATTATATTATAGGCTTTTACATTCAGAAGACATTTATAAATTTATTTTAATAGATTAAACAACAACTCATGACAAATACTAACATTATTTCTGCTTGTATCTTCACATTTCAAGGGAGGATCTACAGTGATCATCACATTCTTAAAAACATTCAAGAAAAGGCTGAGACATTCAAGATTACAGGCTTACGCCTGTAATCCCAGCACTTTGGGAGGCCAAGGCAGGGGAATCACGAGGTCAGGAGATCGAGACCATCCTGGCTAACACGGTGAAACCCCGTCTCTACTAAAAATACAAAAAAATTAGCCGAGCGTGGTGGCGGGCACCTGTAGTCTCAGCTACTCAGGAGGCTAAGGCAGGAGAATGGCGTGAACTCGGGAGGTGGAGCTTGCAGTGAGCCGAGATCGCGCGGCTGCACTCCAGCCTGGGCGACAGAGCAAGACTCTGTCTCTAAAAAAGAAAAAAAAGAAAAGACTGAGAATTATTTTTTACTCCAAGGATTTTATTGTTTAACAGTATTTCATAAAAACTTCTCCATGATTAAACATCACCAGCAATTTTAACAATTTGTTTCATGTATTATTTGCTTTCTACTTATTTTTCTCTTGATAGTTATTCTCATGACCCTTAAAATATGAAAGATGTTCAGGATCACTCATAAGAGAAATTCAAATTAATATTATAAAATATCATTTCTCACTTATAAGATTGTCACAAATCCAAAATTTAGACAACACACTCTGTTCAGGAACTTGTGCGAGTTAAAATCACACAACTCCTTCAGAGATGAATTTGTTATCTAACAAGATTATCTTTCTATATATAACAATTTGTAATTTGACTCAGCAATCATATTTCTAGTTTGTTTTATAAAACAAAACATTGTAAACAACCTAATTGCCCAATAAGTGAAACGTTGAATACAATATGGTATATCTACATAAGAGAATATTGAAACTATAACATATACATGACAACAAATAAAACCTATAAACCAATAGAAAGTGATTTCGAAGATGTAGTAGTAAAAAAATGGAAAAGGCACAACTATAAATATAGATATTTGTATTTATGTAAAATATATATTTGTTTATTTTTGCAATAAGAAACACTGTAATAATTAATGAAAAACTAATAAAAATTGTTTCTAATAAGAGCTAACTGGGTTAGGACTAAAAGGAAGAGGTAGAAATAAGAATTCCCAGAGAATACATTTTTATGGAGATTAAATTTCATAACTCATAAGTGTTTTATATATTTTATTTAGTAATAATTTAAAATAATTAACTTTTGAATCAATTCAAAAATAGAATTGATTCTACATTTCTATTTAAATCAGACTGGAAGAAGAGAAATTTTTGGTTCAGTTAGGCAAATAGAAAAAAATATAATTATGGGTTCTCCTCCTGAGACTCCAAAAAATTATTGCAGGAGCAAAGTAAGAAAAAGTTTCTGAGAGTGCTGATGCCAACATGGAGCAAAACTAACTGTATAACTTCCAAGGGTCCATTCTTTAAGAATGCATGTGTTATAGACAAAAAGAGGAACAAAGTGAAGTTGCAAATTAAGGGTAAGATGAATATCTGTATTGTAGGATGGCTTGTAGCCAGATATTTAATCCCAAATCCAAAAACTAAACAATAACAGCAACAAAAAATAAGATTATTGCCTTCAAAAATTGACTTAGTTATTTTAGTAGAATGATGGCAGCTCTTTTGAAACCTGTGGTGCATTCCACCAGAGTAACTGAGGAAAGCGTAATGAAGGGACTATATACAAAGGTACACACAGGATAGATGGAAATCATTTAAGGATACTGAACTATCTGGGTCTAACAAGTAGGGAGCTATTATCACTTGGTCACTTGGAAACCTGAAGGAGTAAAGGGAGACGGGCATACAGGAACTAGCATGAGCTTAGACAGAAATAGCAGCTGTAGGGTCTAGAGTAGAGTTGGAAGAACAAACAAAAGATCTGTCACAGATCCCCAAAGAACAAAGTTTTGTGTTCTTCAATATATGTATCCTTCATTGTCATTGCTGGCTCCTCATCTGCTCTTCTAAAGGCAAAGACAGCTAGTTGACAAACTGATTATTTGTGTGTTTGTGGAAAATTTGTGGAGTTTCATTTACAAATATCTCTGGGTAAATCGACATTACTGAACACTTGAAAAGTCTGCAATATGACAGAGAAAGATATACTTAGAAAAAGAAAGAGAAAAGAAAAATAAAACTTCAGTTTATTTTGATGATTTAGGGCATTTAGAAAATATTAACAACATGAGCAAATAAATCAAAAGATAAATTTTAATTATTGTCCTTGAAGATTTTGAGTAGACTTTGAAGTCAAAGAAAAGAAAACTGTGCTAAAACAGGCCAATTCAAATATTAATCAAAATTTTTAATTTTAGTAGGAAAAAAGACCAATTCCAGAAGAGAAAAAAGTAAAGGATAATAGTATTGTCAACAACAAAAATAAATCTGAAAATTTTAAATATAAAAATTAATGACAAAATAAACAACAAAAAATAAAACAAATAAATTAGATTATAGATAAATGCCATAGAAAAATGATATTCAAAATCCAACAATTAAATGTTAAGGGCTTCAGACAAATTGAGTGGAGAAATGGAGAGGAAGAAGTAATCAAACAAATAATAAAATAAAATGACATGTTGTTGAAATGAACACGTCTTAAAATTGATATTTCTCAAAAATACTGTTCAGTATTAGTAGGAAAAAGCTCCAAAACATTGTGAGTCTTAAACCCTAAGACTTACAAGAAACTTGTCTTCCAGAGAAGAACCTAGCCACTTGCAAAGAAGAAAAATCAGTTTGTTATGAGACCTCTGGATGCTAAAAGAAGAGTGGATAGTACCCTTTCAGATCTTAAGAAAATAGTTTCCAACTTTGCATTCTCTATCTAGCCAACTTACCAATCAAGTATGACTACAGAAAAAAGATAGTTCAGATACAAAAACCTTCAGGAATATTATCTCTAAAGTTGGTTTTGTTGATGTTGTTTGTTTTTTATTTTTCCTTCAGGATATTCTATTAGAGATTAGGCAAGTCAAATGAAGAGCAAAGCCCAAAAGGAGAAAGACATAGATCCAGGAACCAGCAGAACTATGAAGGTTCTGAGAGAACCTCACAGGGAGATGTTCCAGAGGAACATTTCCGGATTTTTCTGGATAAGCAACTACAGGGAATTTCCGGATAAGCAGCTACAGGGAAATCCTAGAATATAAAAAGGTTACTTTGGACCAGAACAATGGTGACCTGAGGAAGAAGACTTCAAGGAAAAAGAAAATGTGGATATGATAAAGATGTAGGATTATGAGTTGTAAAGGTGTAGAATGAATGAAAAAGTTTCTAGAAGCTCAAAACCATGCAAAGTAAGACACGTTTCTTATATAAGCAAAAATCACAGCATGATTTTGAATGCTAGAAAATTAATTTTTAAAAGAATCAATTTCACCTTGATGTTAGGAAAACTTTCCTTTGAGTGGATTAGCGGACTGGATCAGATATAAAATGTTGTAAGAAACCACCTGATGCTTCATTGAACAATATTTGCATTATCAAAATTATTTGATGCTGCTTATTGGTTTATAATTTTTTAAATTTAAAGATAAATCTCAAAATACTTAAGTTTTATCATTAGTAGATGTAAATAGGTCCCCATTGACAATATAAACTTTTTTTTTTCTTAACTGATAGAGGTTTAAATGTGAGAGATAAAAGAAATAGAAGGGCAGAAAGACTTTTATTTTTATTCTATAAAATGGGGAAAAATTATATGTTTCTGTTATTGACAATGTGAGTATGGAACTTTTGGTATGTGGTCTTACATTCCAGAAGTAATCATTACAAAAATAGTGATATCATAAAGATAGAAGTGACATGAAAAAAAGTCTACATCCGATAAATTTTTAAAAATGGAATTTGCATATTATTTAGAAATGATGTGACAACCAAAAGTATTAAGAACAGAAATATATAATTAAATGTGATTGTTTCTGAACAATGTGACTAAAAGTAAAGATGGGGAAAGAGAGGGGACTTTTCCTAATGCATGCAGGGCTTAAAACCTAGATGACCGGTTGATAGGTGCAGCAAACCAGCGTGGCACATATATACCTATGTAATAAACCTACAGGATCTGCACATGTATCCCAGAACTTAAAATAAAAATAAAAATAGCCTGGGCGGGTGGCTCACACCTGTAATTCCATCACTTTGGGAGGCCGAGGCGGGCAAATCACGAGGTCAGGAGTTTGAGATCAGCCTGGCCAACATGGTGAAACTCCATTTCTACTAAAAATACAAAAAGTTAGCTGGGTATAGTGGCAGGCGCCTGTAATCCCAGCTACTCGGGAGGCTGAGGCAGGAGAATCGCTTGAACTTGGGAGGTAGAGGTTGCAGTGAGCCGAGATCCTGCCACTGCACTCCAGCCCTGGTGACAGAGTGAGACTCCATCTCAAAATAAAATTAAATAAAAAAAAAAATGAAAATAAAGAGAGTAGACTTTTATCTTTCTGATCTAAATGTTTAATTCTATTAGCATACTATTTTCATAATTAGTTTAAAAATGCATATAAAGAAAAATAAATAATATGAAAACCTATTTGTAATAGTCAATTTAAACAAATAAACCTTATTTTTATTACATACCAAATTGAAAATTAATTTTATTAAATATATTTCTAATTAGATTTATGGACATTTGAACATCTATGCAAATACATATACGATCACCATGTGATTTTAAAAAGAAATTATATTTTATTATCTACCACTAAGATATGTTATCAAAGATTATGATCATTTAAGAAATAAATGGCAATTTCTAGCGTATCAGTGGACATTTTATTATCTTGTCTTACTATTACGTTTTATTCCACTTTAAATTCTAAGAGTGCCTGATTCTCCACATGCCTTTTCTCCACTTAGTCTTATTCTTCAGTAACATAGAAAACAAGTTGCTAGCAGGGTGCATTTGTACTTTGAGAATGTCTAAGTCTTTACTGCCCTTCTATTATTTACATTTCCTGGGATGCCGATGTATACCAATAAAGGGCATGAGAATATGACTTCTGCAGAGACATTTATGTTTTCAGCATTGCCTGTGTGTTAAAAACTCATGGCACTTAAAAAAAAAAAGAAAGTTGCTCTTTTATAGTATCAGTTCAAAAAAGAAATAATCACTTGGGAAATTTTACTCTGTATCTGCTGCAAAGAAACCCAGCAGAGAAGAAAGGCTTACAAAACCATAGAAGGCAGTAAATGTCAGAAAAGGTGGGTCATTCTTGCTTGTAACCATAAGGGCATTCCACTTATACTCAAGCTCATTGTTATGCTTAGTCAACTATAACCTTATGTCAAGCTGATCTTTGGTCTGTGGAAGTCTAGAAGTAACTATAGGTAACAAATTTTGAAAAAATACACTCTCCCAATTTGGACTAGAATTTTGCAGGCATTTAACATTGACTAAAATTTAATTGCAGTTAACACACAACAATAAAATTACTTCTTCCAGTTCCTAAATTTCTAAGCTTCATTATGGGTGAGTTTTTCAAATGCAATTTTCATTTTTATCAATTATCTAACTGCATTTTTCAAATTCAAGAATTGATACATATTCTGATGTGCTAAGAAAATCAAAGTAACTCTCTTAAATGTAACATTGTTTTTGTCTGTGCACCATCAAAGTGTTTTTAACTAGCATACAACATATAGGAAAAAATGGGAAATTGTGGACTTCCAATATGAACCAGAAAATGTATTTGTTTATTTTAAAATATGTTTGTTTGATTTTTTAGTTCCACGGAATGACTAACATTTAATAAAATCAATAGTTTAAGTGAAGTAACAAACATAGTTGAAATATGTGAACATTTTCATCTTGTTTTATCAAACTAATAATCATAAGGCAAACTGCATTCAGTTTAAATCCCCAGAATGCTCACAGAATAAAGATTCCAGGACCTCTCTAGAATGTGAAACCAAATTAAATGGGTGTGTGCATATACGTAATATTAAGATCATTTTGATTTGTTCTACTTTTGAAAGTTTTTCAGAAATTAACTGTGAAGATGAAATTTTCTGCTATAAATATGGCAGCAAATGAAGTAATGATGACACTGTTGAGAAAATTTGGTTATGAAATAGCCACATGCTTGTTCTGACATTCTACAAATATTCCATGAGGTAAAGGCATATGGATGTTTACTTTGGAATTGATGTACCCAGCTATTTAATTATGGATTTAGTTTATGCTACTTATTCAATGATGAGTAAATATAATTTAAGAAAATTCAGGAATACATACTAAAGTTTCCTGTTATAATTTTCCTCATTTCTGAGTAAATCCTTTCAGCTAACATAAAACAGGAATGTTAGACTGGCTTTTAAAAAACAAAATAGAAGCAATTGTTGCACTGGGTGTGGTAGTTCATGCCTGTAATCTCAGAACTTTGGGAGGCTGAGGTGGGAGGGTCACTTGAGTCCAAGAGTTCAAGACCAGCCTGGGCCACATATTGAGACCCCGTATCTACAAAAAAAAAAGCCAAGCATGGTGGTGCGCACCTGCAGTCCCAGATACTCAGGAGGCTGAAGTAGGAGGATTGCTTGAGCCTGGGAGGTTGAGGCTGCAATGAGCCATGAAGGTGCCACTGCCCTCTAGCCTGAGCAACAGAGCAAGACCCTGTCTCAAACGAACAAAAAAGTAAACAAAACAAACCCAATTGTTATTAGCATAGAAGGGAGCATGGGATAACCTGCCATCACATGTGCCTTCTTTTCAATATAACAATGTCCTGAAGGCAAGCCATTCACTACTTTCATTTATTCATTACATCAAAAATATTTCTTGAATATGTACAAGGTACCACAAACTCTTCTGCAAGATAAAGTATGAAAATAAACAAAACACGCATAACTGTTTGTCCTCATGAGATTTATATGTTATTTGTAGAAGGTAAAAAATAATAAAAAGCCCAACTTAAAAAACAAACTTTGAAGGTCAAGGATATGGAAGGTGCAGTGAAGAGAATAAGAAGCAATTATTGAAGTGGAAAGAAAATGAGAACACTCGATTTATTTATAACTGTGATTGACTGTTGGATTTATCACCTGGTGACTAAAATCAACTCGTAGAATTATGTGAATCAAATGAGAATTTTGATAGGTGTAAAAAAATATTGAAAGAGAAGAAGTGGGCAGTAGCCGGATGGCGTATCTGTATACATATCCTAATACAGAAAACATTGTATCCTAGCAATATGACAAAAAAAGATAAAGCAATTGGTTTGAAATGATTCCCTTATTTATAACAGCCTCAGTTTTGGACCAAGTAAACAGAAAAAAAAATAAAGTGGAGATTTGAGTATGAAAAACTATTTAAGCATATAATTTAATAAAATTGGTAATCACAACAGATTGTATACAAAATGGCATTTTTCTATTAGATTAACTCTCAAACTATTAATGAATTCTGAAAGTCACAAATTTATTTCCACTAAAAATCACATGTGCGGAGGAAATATGTCTATTTTTTTTCCTGTAAATTACTTTATCTTTTTCAAAAATCAGCACCTTCTTGGTGGAATCTCCAATACTATATGGTGTGTCATGTAAGCCTTTAACACTATGAGCTTTCTATGCAACAAATGAAATTCAATCTCTAGGAAAATCTTCAGTGTCCCTGATATCTGATCTTTAGCATAAAGTGCCCTTCCTTTCAAGATAGTATCTGGTTATGGGGTGAGAGTTCAGTATGTGACTTAATGTGTCTTGTGAGAATGTCCTGCTGTCTAAGAGTTACACCTCTCCTAGATGGGGTCTTTGGAATAAACAACTATATTGTCGTTGTACTATGGGAATATTACTAGTTTTACTGATAGCTGTTTAACCTATTGATGACGCTGACTGAAGTTTATGGCCGGTATAAGCATTAATCCGCTCTATCTCACAATTGGGTCAGATGCTGGTCAGCACTGTGTGACTAACTTAAATTCACGAATCAAGGTCTGCCTGTGGACATAGACACTTGAGTTTTGCCATTCACTCTCTAAACCTTGGTTTGGGAGTTTGGAAGAGCCGTCACCAGAGTGTACTCTACTGTAAACATCCTCATTTGTAAAGCCTCTTCTCGTGCATGCATAGCATTCATTTGGAGATATTTAAATGGTAGACTGAAAATATCTAGGGTTGACTTTTCTATCACTGTTTATCTATTTATCTATTTCTATCTATTTATTCTATCTATTTATTCTATCTATTCTATTTCTATCACTGTCCTCAGGTAAGAAGGACATCAAATTCTGTACAGTCTCTCTATGCTGGTTTTTGCATACCCCTCCATATTTGCATTTTCATTCGCCTAGTGTATTATGTTATCACCTCACGCGTTATATGCCCATGTCGCACTTTCAAAGACCGGTCTCTAGTCTGTGCTGACTACCATGCTTATAATACCGGTAGAGCCGATACTTCACAGTACGACTTTTCTCATTACTGTTGTTCTTAATATTTACCTATGCAACATCTAAACCTCCACCCAAACATTTAAAATACTGGAGTCATGACTCTTATATTCTAGTAATTTTGCCAGCCATGGGAAGATGAGATAATTTTGTTATTCATAGAGAATTGGGAAGTGCTATTTTAAAAATATTTCCATGATATTTGCCATCACCAAAATCGCGTGCAGCTTGTGAAGCATTCACCTTTGAGACTTATTGTTTCCTCTTATTTTCTATGTCTGCAATTTAGGGCTAGTTTCCAGGTGGACATGTTGCTTCATATTATATAGGAAAAGTCAGAAGATGAAACCAACTGTATCACTTGGTTTCCGCATACTTGAAAAGTTAGTGTCCAAACCCTTTGTGTTTCTGGACTTAGGTTATTAGAAATTCCCAGGTATGTTTTAAAAGAGAGAAGCACAAATATGTTATACTCTATCATTTCATCCCTTAAAAATTAATATTTTCTCTGAAATCCTATTTTAAAACAGTATGATTTCCTAAAATATTCTCATTGCCTTAAGGGTTTCAAAGATTTTGCAAATAAAAGATTTAATCATGAGCACAGCATCCCTAACCAAGTTCCACCTTAGAGAATCAAGCAAAGCACAAAGTACTTTATTATAACTCAAAACTAATTGAATAGATACTTAAATGACAATTTAAGTAATTTGAGTAAAGGAAAAAACACCTAATCATTCTTCAAACTCCCGTTTTTAATGGTTAAGGCACAAATTCAAGCAAAAAAAAAGTATATTTTATTTTTACAGAACAAGTAGACATGTAAAAGGCAAAAACATAGTAAACTCACCTTATATCTTCTGATATTTAAATGTCAAAATTTCTTAACATTATATATAAAAATCCAGTTTATTTTCTATTTCATTAATTTTGCTTTTTTCATAAAATTCCAAACACTTTATATACTTGTTGAATATAGTGATTTTGAAATACCTATAAGATTTTTTTTAACTTTCCAAGTACTTATTTTTGAAAAACTGAACTTACGAAGTAATAGTCTGGCAACGTTTTAATCTTCTTTTATGAACATTACATGAAGACTGACTTTTTTCTAATTTATATTTGTATCAAAAACCATTATACCCATGGGGGGCAATCTGTATTTCATTTATTATATTCTTTACTTAAAAATCAAAGAGCCCATAATAATTCTGTATAATGTTTATTGAAACAGGTGTATAACAATTTAAGTTTAATCACAGGATAATTACTAATTATAATTAAGACCTCAATATCTCCTTAGGCTTTTTTTGTTATACTCCTGAACTTAAAGTACTGAATATTTTTTTCTGCACACATAAAACATAAAATATTATCTATCTTGAATTGGCTAAATGTTTTAAGACAAAAGTCTGATAAAATCATAAATCACTCTGGATCTAGCTTTGCATGACGTGGAGGCATGCACATTTTTAAGATTCCCAGTATGCCATTGGCTGGCTTTTTGCATGTGTGTTCCAGGAGAGGGGCTCTGACAGTATTTCGAGTGATTGTAATTTTCATCTCTGCTGGTAGTTGTTGGGCTTCAGTGAGAAGCTGGAACCACTGAATCAGTTCACAATGAACACATTGAATACAATGAACACAATGAACACTTTGAGGATTAAATACAACCTTAACTCCCCAGGGTTTATTCTGAGGAAGGCAGTATTGTTTTGTGTTAGGTAATCAAAATTTTATATGAACGTTAATAAAAGACATAAACGTGCTTTTTAAAACTCTAAAAAATGTGCTTAGATTGCTAATGTTATATACAGTTAATTCATTTTGAATTTAAAACAAAATGAAACAAAGTATCAATAGTTTTCAACTACCAATAGAGTCTCAGTACAGTGCTTAAATAAGCTAACAGATGTGTGGATTTTTTTTCTAATTATTTATGAAGAAGACACAATAATGCAGAGTTGAGCTTTTTAAATAATGTATTTTATTGCTTATAATTCCTTCTTTGTTACTGTTTAAAACATTTACCTTTTTATTTAACGACTGTAAATCAAGTATCTAATTTTTTATTGCCATAATTATTGTGGCACTTTTTAGCTTCTAATAACTCTAATAATCATTGTGTCATAAATACACATTGTCTACAATTGCTTCTCATGGCATATAGTGGAAATGTTTGTACCACTTAATGAAATAAATACATAAAATGTGAACAGTCACGAGACTAAAATTTACAATGTTGGACACTTTCATCTATTTTAAGCAATTACTTTCGATATCGTTAACTACAGAAGGTGTGACATTTACTTTTTTTTCAGGTTGTTTTCCATATTGGCTCCCTGGAAAGCCTTAGAAATTCTCAAGAAGTCTTGGCTACTGATTCCAGATATCCGTGTCAAGGTGGAGCAAAGTGTACATCTGCTTTATCACTCAAATGGCTCATTTTATAAGTGAATTTATTATTTGATTTATTTTCTATTAAAACACACATACAAACATACGTATGCAAAGATTCATAAACAGATTATTTTGTGCTTTTGGTGATTATTTTATCATTTTAATAGGCAATAAGACATATTAGCAAGTAACAGAACTATTTATGAAAACAACCTAGCACAACATTCATATTATCGAAAGATACTATAATTGCCCCTGAGAACCAAAGTAAAATATATCTTATCATTCTCAAAAAATATATATTAATAATGTTAGAGTAGGATATAGATAACATCAGACTCCAAACATTGATTAGGTGCTTTTATCTTGTAATTGCAGCTCTTCCTCTTGTTGACTGGAACACAGAAAATTACTATCATCTGCACCACCCCACCCTACCTTTATCTGTAAAATAATTGCTATATTTTTATGATGCCATTGTAATCAACCAACTGTATCACTTTTTAAAATTGTATCTGAGGCTAAATATAATTTACTGCCTAAAATTTAAATATATTAATAAACTTACAAGTCTAAACAATTTCTCTCTTACTTAAAATGACCCAAAATCCTTACATCAAACAGTTTTTGTTTTTGTTATCCTGATACTGAATTTTGTTATCATGATACTGAATTTAAAACATGGTCTAGTCTTGTATTCAGAAGTTCTAGGTATAAATCTTGGTGTCAAAAATTATAAACTACTAACCTTGAGCATATAACTTAAAATTTTATATCTTAGTTATATCATTTTTAACATGATATAAAAACTATCAATCTAATAGGGGCTTGAGGCAAGAATTTAATTAACGTTTTCTAAGTTCTTGCTATAATATTCATCACATATTATTTGCTTAATAAATTTTTTTTTTTTATTTTCTAGAAAATTCAAAAGCCAAGCTCAAAAAGTTGACAATGAAAACAACAGAAATGTATCGGAAATATGAAGAGTGGTTTCTAAGATCTAATATGGCAGAATATTCTAGAACCAATTTATGTGTCTCCCTCTATGCATTCAGTTTCAATTACCAAGCCAGGTTTCAGTCACCTGTGGGTGTTTTCTAGATGGTAAAGTTACCTTACCTGTGGTTGTGAAATCTTGGCTGCCACCTGTGTTACTCACCACCACACACTGCCACACTGCTGGTTTTTTAACCTTCCCCAGAGATGTGGACGGGGCTTAGACATGGCATCCACTGGGCCTGTTAGAATGGGAGGCCATAGCTCTCAGCCTAAGTCTGACACATCTAGAAAAAACAAAAATCTGGCTATGCCAAAGTCTGTCTAGAAGGGCCCAGTAACATCATTGTGTTGATGGGTCAATGCCCCTTGGACAAATTTAGGAGATGGGAGACTGGGAAGAGCCAGAAGAAAACGTTCTCATTCACCTCTCTTCCATCAACTTTTCTAAACTGTCCTGGGTTCATATGGTCTTTCCGGAAATGCTTTTGCTCCTTTCAAAAAGTTGGAAGGCCACTTCTGTGCCATCTTACACTTGAGTTCCTCATTCCTCTGCTCATTTTTCTCCCTTTTAAAATTTTTCTTCCTGGGGTTATGCTGCTTCTCCAAATATAGCAGTACCTCATAAAATTTTCCTCAGGCATTTTTGTTTGTTTGAATTGTTTTACTTAATCTGGATTAAGACTGAAAATATTAGAAATATTAGAAAATATTAGAAATCTGGCTGAAATAAACTCAAGTCCTAACCAAGAGACTCATTGATTTTTCCTTTATTTCATGCATTTTGCCCTCTGTAACTGGCCTGGGTCCACAAAACAGAATTAATTAAATGATTCTTTCATTTGACACTCATTAATTTATTCATTCTTCATGTATTTTCCAATTTGTATTATATTACAGGCATTAAGTAACCAGAGATCTTGTGAAACCTTATGCAACCCATTGCTTAACGACTAGGCAAAATGGCAAAATTACCTCATTTAACCCTGTATATCAATAATTTCTAAAGTTGTAATTGAATCAATGTTATTCATTACACTCTTCATGAAAACTCTTCCAGGCTGAGTATATTCATTAAAACTCTTCCAGGCTGAGTGCAGTGTCTCATGTCTGTAATACGAGTGCTTTGGGAAATCAAGGGGGAAGGATCACTTGAGGCCAGGAGTTCAAGCCCAGCCTAGACAACATAGTGGGAACTTGTCTCTACAAATAATTTAAAAATAATTAGTCAAGCATAGTGATGTGTGCCTGTAGTCCTAGCTACTCAGGAGGCTGAGGTGAGAGAATCACTTGAGCCCAGGAGTTCCAGGATGCCGTGAGCTATGATCTGCCACTGCACTCTAGCCTGGGTGACAGAGAAAGACATTGTCTCTAAAAAATAAAAAATATGTAAAGTTCTTTGAGACGATAGAAAAGGTGGCATGTATTTTAGCATAATTTTAGTCAAAACTAATAATATTCTGACTGACAATTCAAAAACGAAAGTAATGTTAAAGATTACCTCTTGGCCGGGCGAAGTGGCTCATGCCTGTAATCCCAGGACTTTGGGAGGCCAAGGCAGGCGAATCACGTGGTCAGGAGATCAAGACCAGCCTGGCCAACATGGTGACACCCTGTCTCAACCAAAAATACAAAACAAAACAAAACAAAACAAAAAAAATTAGCTGGGCATAGTGGCATGCGCTTATAGTCCCAGCTACTCAGGAGGCTGAGGCAGGAGAATTGTTTGAACCTGGGAGGCGGAGGTTGCATTGCGGTGAGCCAAGATCACGCCACTGCACTCCAGCCTGGGCGACAGAGTGAGAATTCATCTCAAAAAAAAAAAAAAAAAATGACTGCTTGATGCTATGGTCCATTTTTTCTAAAAAAATGTTAGGGATGTGAATTGCAAAATAATAACATGTAAGAGATATATGTTTATTTTTAACAGACAAATATCAGATTAAAAAGTATCATGTTCCAGATATGTGTATGTAGTTCTAATATGTAAACTTCTGAATGCATTTCCACATCAATATGATATGCATAATAAATAAGCCACCAGATGGTCCAAATTAAAAACAAAATTATTTTTATTGGTAATTTTATTGTAAAGTCAATCTGAGATAGCAGGAAATTTTTTTTAAATTTCAGATTGCAATTAACAGGGCAAAACTTCTCTTACTCTGATTTGTTCAACTGCCAGGCAGCAGATCATAAATTTCTCATGATTTTATAGATCATAGCTATGGTAGGTGAGGCCAGTGACCTGTGCATGATAATCTACTCAATTGGCATAAAAATGTAGTAGAATATTTTTCTCTCTGAGGTGTCTAGTTTTTGATAATGCATAAGTTATATAATAGCATATATTAAGTACAATGTATGTATATTAGGTACATAAATAATGTGTAATAGTGTATGAGTTGTACCATCTATAGAATAATTATATATTCTATATATATATTCTATTTGATAGAATAAATATGTTTATTCTATAAATATATCTATATATATATTTATTCTATAGATGCTACCAACACATAAAATCAATTCTATAGATTATAAAATATATATATTTACAATATTGCAAAGGCCTAATCTTTTCTGTTTTGTTTTGTTTGTTCATAGCATTGCAGTTTTTTTAAGAGAAATTTATACACTCTTGGATTAAGAGACCATAGGGTAGTCATATTGCTAATAGCTAGAGTATTTATGACAATGGTTAAGGTTGGGCTTAGGTCAAAAAACCATAATAGGACTCCCGCTTTTTAAGTGCAACAACATGGTTGGCTATGGCATTTATCAATGTTTTTTGTTTGTTGCTTGGTTTGGTTTTAATGGATGAAAGGATTGTGCAGGAATATATAGTAGAAAAATAGAACACATGGAAGATGCATTGAAGTTAACAGCATGAGTGTAGCAAACCACAAGGTTTGGGATTATAGGATAATATCTCACCTAATATCTGCTTTTTAAATATTTGATTCAGGGAAAAGTAAGAGAAAAACTTAATTACATGTTTACCACTCTCTTCCCTGTGCTAAGAAAATTGACACAGTTACTGGTCCCAAGAACACATACTGAAAACCAGACCGTCAAGTAATATATGTGTATATTTACTACAAAGTCTCTATCACACATATTGTCCTTGATATTTGGATTTCAACAAAGAAAAAACAAGTTTTTTGTCAGGCCACTACAGGTATTGATTGGAGCCACTAGATAAGCTCTTAAGCTATTCTAAATTTCGGCTGACAGGTATTTAAAGCTGTTTGGGGACCATTTACTGAAGAACATGTTAGGAGAAAATATCTGATGCAGGCTATATATTCAGTTTATGACTACATAGTTGCATATTCTGACTCTCTGAGCAAAGTGAATTAAAATATTTAAGCTACTTTGCATTTCCATCTCATCCACCAGGTGTTTCGGCATCCTGCAGGAGCTTGAGGACTCTCTTTGTATGTACTATAAAGTTTAAGTATTATACAGCTGCGGATACACTTTTTTCTTCCTACTCATTCAGCTAGGTTTCTATCCTTTCCCTAAATGCTGTAATTGCATCAGGCATAAGGGATGTAAGAAATAAAACATTAAATGAAGCAGTATTCTGTATATTTGTAAATGTAAAACAGATGTGCAGTAAATATTGTAGGCTTGAATCAATGGGGCACCATAAAAATACAAAGAAATGAAAGAAGAGATATAATTTGTCAGTGATTTTTGCTAAATATCTCATTAGTATGGAGAAGCTACAGATTCCTTACAGGATTTAATGAATAGCTTTTTACACGTGGTTTTCCTATTACTTCTGAGCAGCAGCTAGTCAGCACACTATAAATACAAGCAAAAGTTAGCAAATAAGAGATAAACGCATTCATAAAACATTTCAAAATATTTAAAATATTCTTAAAAATTCTAAGGAAGTTTAAAGTAAAATAGGAAAGTATTTTTAATAAAACAAATTTCATAATCTTCAAAAATATTACTCTCAAACCATTAAAATAATATAACTTACGTTTCAAGTTGTTATGTACAGATAACTTCAGGATAGGAAACATATTAAGACAAAAAGTTTGTTATATTTTAGAGAAAAAAATAAGTGTTTTGTATTTCCCCAAACTGTCTTTTGTCTTTTGCTTTTCAAAATCTCATAATGGCATCTCCTTTTGTTGAATAACTCAGGTTCAACACCCTTTTTTCTCTCATTACCTTCATTCAGTCACGTTGACCTATTGAAGCTAGACCCAAACAACTCACTTCAAAAGCTTCTGACATTGCATTTCCATTGGTTGAGATATTTTTCATCAATTGCCTGGCTTATTGTAATAATTTCTTAATTATTTCCCTTCCCTATTTGTTTTCTTACCACACAAAATCACACTAATGATCATCATCTGATTAATATTCTTAAACATATACTGACCAATGTTTCTTTGCTCAAAAATCTTTAATTACTCTCCATTTTTATATGAGTATTAACTCCTTCGCCCTACATTAACATACATTCTCTAGCTACCACAAATGTTTCCAATATGATAACAGAATTTATAGATTAGACACTCTGTGAAAAATTAAGTAATTGTTATTTCCTGAATTAAGTCTATTTTTATGGACTTAAAATATTTCCCAACCAAATTTCTGTTAAATTTCAACCAAATTTCTATTAAATATCCTATTAAATCATCACTACTTAATTTTTTACTTATTCATTTGTTTACACCTTATTTTTTCAATTTTATATTTTAAGTTTATCAGGCTTTTACTATAGTTTTAAAATTAGGTGTAAGATTGATGTATTAAGTTTTACTAGGTTGGTGCAAAAGTAATTGCACTTTTTGTCATTACTTTTAACATATAGTTTGGGTAATATATATAGTATTACATATTATATGTGCTATAAGTGCAGTTAAAAATTTTAAAAGAAGTACAGGATTTTTATATCCTAAGCTGTTCTGATTCACAATATCTAGAGGTTCACCTACCTTAAAATTGGGTGTTTTAAAAGAACCATTTTATTATATGTCACAATTTGAATTTATGAGCCAGGAATATGGGCAGGGCCCTACCTGAGTACTTTGTTCAATGTGGCATCACAGAAAGTCACACAGTGGACCTTAGCTACCTGATGGTCCAACCTGAAAGTTCTAAGCATGTTTTCCTCATATATATAGTGCCTTGTTGAGGATGACTATAAGGCTTAAATCAGATGTAACTGTTAGGCAATGTGCCTAACCATGCCCTTTCCCACATGTCTCAGGGTAATTTGACATCTTATATTGTAATTTAAGTATGAATGAGAGTGCCAAGAAGCCTATATGGAATATGCTAAACTTCTTATGACCTAGCCTTTCAAGTTCAAAATATTACACCTGCAACATTTTATTGATAAAGCCGGTCACTTTGGCCTAATGAGATTGAAGAGTGGGGGGAGAAGAATTAGACTCCACCTCTCAGTAAAAATTGTACCAGAAATTTTGTGTTACCATTAAAGTACCTCTGCGAACAAAGTATTAATATTTACATTTCTCCTGCATGCAATATTCCCCTTTTATAAGTCTCTAGAATCTTTCATCCTATTACAACATTTCCTCAAAGTCCAATATCTCAGCCTCTAAATTATCTGATTTAAAGAGAATCAATGAATATAGTTCCATAAATATAATTATTCTCAATCTTCAGAAACAAGTTGCCTACACTCTTTTCGTGGGTGCATACCTGACCTCATCATATAATGATTTCTAATAAGTATAACTTTCATTAACATCAGATTAAAAAGTAAGAAAATAGTAGGCAGTGATTGATCTGCAGCAGTTCTAAAATCCTGTGGGGCGCATGTTGCCAGTTAAAGGAAACTCTAGGAATGGTTCTTCAAGTTATTTGATTCCACTGTAGACTCTTTGTCCTTTTTCCTGAGACCTTCTAATTATTTTTCTGAAGGAAATAACCCATGTTTCCAATCAAGTAAACTTCTTAGTTTACTTCCCGCCCATAGATGTTTGGGGACCCCAATGATTGTTTTAAATTTGCAATTTATTTATCTCCATAAAAGCTTGTGTTACTTTTGTCAATATGATTCTCTTAAAAACTCACAGGGTTCCTCTGAAACTTACTGGGATTCACTCTGTTAGAGGATGACATGTCCAAAATCCCTTTGAGACAGGACTCACTGGCATAGTGTAACAATTAGATTATTGTGAGACAATTATCTTAAAAAACTTTTTAAAACTATTTTTTGCTTTATTTATAGTGTTTATTGCCATAAAATTGTTTGTTAAGGCTTAATACAGAATTGCCCAGCAATACTCTTAATATGATCTTAACCTGAGTCCATTTCTTATTTTGAGACCCTACTGCCATCTAAAAAAATTGGAAATAATTTTTTCTTATAAAATCTGTCAAAGTTTTCTTTATTTATCTTTCTTCTACATTTTTCTTGAAAACTGAACTGTTTAATTTTCTATCTCTTCTATCTTTCTTCACATACTTTACACAGCTAAAAGAAACCAGTTGGTATTTTAAACCAGCTGCTTTGATATCTCCATAGCCAAATCTAGTTTTTCATTATTTACATTTTCTATTTACCACATTACTGCAAGTGACAGAATTGCTATAAATGGTCCCACTACCTAACAAGGTTAATCTTTATTTCTTTTTTTTCTACCAGCAACAGTTGTCTTCTTTCTTTGTCAGCATTTCCCATAGTGTCTCATAATTTTTCTTCTTCCACTAATAGTCTCCTTAAGATACTCATTTTTACTTACAATTCACTTAAGACTTTCCAGAATCCATATCTCAACACAACAAATCATAAAAATTTGCTGCCATATTTACTCTACAATGTAAACTATGAGTTCAAAAAATTGCAGACTCCTTAATTGTTCTTTAAATACTCTGTCACTGGATAGGACCCCCAGGAATCAGACTCTGAGGTGAAGGCAGAGGGATTATTAAGGAGTGTTTTTGAAATAAACATCTGTGGAAGGGAAAAGAAGGAAGCAAAAATTAGTGGAGGTAGAAGTTGAACTGTGATACAATATCAACCAATGTTTCAGATAACACTTCAGAGTTCAGAAAATGGTTTGAATCTTGATATGGTTTGGCTCTGTGTCCCTACCCAAATCTCATCTTAAATTGTAATCCCCGTGTGTCAAGGGAGGGACCTAGTGGGAGGTGAATGGATCATGGGGGTGGTTTCCACCATGCTGTTCTCATATGGTGAGTGAGTTCTCACAAGACCTGATGGTTTAAAAGAGTGTGGCAGTTCCCCCACACCCCTCTCCTGCCATCTTGTGAAGAAGGTGCTTGCTTTTCCTTCACCTTCCACCATGATTGTAAGTTACCTGAAGCCTCGCCAGCCATGCAGAACTGTGAGTCAATTAAACCATCTTTCTTTATAAATTACCTAGTCTCAGGTAGTTCTTTATAGCAGTGTGAAGATGGACTAATACAAATATTTTGTGCTACTGCTAGTTAATAAAGCCAAGGGTTATCTGCCAGAAACACTACCATCAACTGTGGTAATAAGTTATTTACTCCTGAAATAGGTACTTGCAGCCCACCACATGTACACCATTGAGAACATACCTACCACATAATTTTTCTGAAGAGACAAAAGTGCTACTCTATAAAATACTCAGCAATCATGATTGAAAAGGTAATAATAAACTAAGGCAACAGGTACTAAAAGTGCAACATCTTTTTTCAGAATACATAGAATTCAAAATACAAAGTAGGATTTACAGGTTCAAAAATCAATTTTTCTCTATCTATCATACTAATTGTGGTATCAATTACTATAATGTACCTACCTAATCTATTTAAAAATACTTTATTCATGAACTCCAGTTAAGTGAGGCGGTGAAGAAGATCAGATTTTTTTCCTTATTGGCATTAAAAAACTGCATTAAGAATTGCTATATATTACTTTTGCTAAGTTATCTTTTTAAAAAGTGTAAAGATAGTGATGAGTACACAAATATAAAAAGCATTCTTAATATGTTATTTTGTTTCCTTCTGTTTTCTTTTCATTAAGTCTAAGGTGCCTAAGTAGAGAGTTGCTAAACAATAAACAGCTGATGTAGTTTGTAAATTGACTAGATGAACTGTGGTATTAGTCAATTTGTGTAATATATGAAGGAAAAAATTTTTAAAAGTTACAATCTGGAAATGGCATTATTACTTTTTGTTCAGAGAAGTGGTCAAATATTTTTTAAGAAAGCACTTGCATAATTTCACATGTAACTCTACTGTAGCCAAAGACTCTTATTACAAATTTGTGTAACGACTGAAATATCTTTTGGGCAAGAAGACTGTTAAAATAAATCAATATGATACTTCAGCTTGTTAGAGGTAAAAAAAAATAACATGCTAAGGAATAAAAGCTAACTTTGTATATAGTATCAAATTATAATTTTCTTTTTTATAAATACACGTGTGTGTGTTTAAAATTAGAAAGTGAGGTTATTTTAAAATACTGGAAGTGATATAACCAATTAACTAGTTGCTCTTTACAGTGTAATTTTTTGTGTTTTCCATCTTCAGCTGCAATTAATATCTTTAATGTCATTATAGATGTTAATTTTCAGTATAATGAGTGGTTTAATTTTGAAAATATATAAAATATTTCGCAGTTAAATCCAGAGAATAATATATCAAGAATCCAAGTATATCTGTCTCACAGTCTAGTGAGAGAGAAATACAGAAGTAGTAGTGGACTTTGTTTTTGCACTCAACTAGCATACTACTAGGGCCCTGTGCACTCCTCCACCTTTCCTTCTCTAGGCAGCTTGTTCTGTTTCCTGGCAGAATGGCTCATTTCCATAGCTGTGAGTACCCAGCCACCAATGCCACAATGGTTCTACAGGCCTAGGAGTCTTACTTATGTTCAATTACAGGAAAACTCAGTGTGTACTCTACTGCGGGAGGGGTGTGTTGAGGATGGATGCATTGGCTTCCCTAATGGCTGCCAGGAAGGGTCAGATCAAGAACCTAGAAATTCAGGGAAGTTAAGACCCCCTAGGAGAGAGTGACTAGTGAGATGCTGCATTCCAGAAAGATCTGAAAGTTAAACAGACTGCCCCTCCTCTCTTGTGTTTGGAGATGCAGGGATTCCATGTGGTCTCACTGGAGATGTCCCACATGATCTATCATGAGCAGGGTTTTGTGAAGCTATGACCAGCTCATTAGTGTGTCACCTTATATTTGTTTGTTGTGGTTTTATTCCTTTCCCTAGTTTGCTTTCTTCTCACTCTTACCTGTTTTCCTAGGAACTCAGACTAACAAAGGTAGATAATCAGAATATTTCTACGTTTCTTAAAAATGACTGTTTTGAAGTAAAATGCTGCCTTACATTTTAAAATTCTTGACTTTTGTGTTTTAAAAAAGCACCCATACTTTGTAGCCACACACACACACCTATATAATTGTATCAAACTACGATTGCATATTTCAAGCAGCTTTTCTAGTTTTCAGAATACATCAATAATAAGTGTATGATAATTCTTGTGGGAAGTAGTAAAAGAAATAATATTCACTGTAGACAAGAATCTTTAAATATTCAAATGAGTAATATGGATGTTTCTTTTATGATCATAACCTACATGTATAAACTTGTAACCTACGTGAGATCAGGGAAGCTGCTAACCTTAATAACTTTTTTTGTGCCTAAAAAGGTGTCTGGCACATAGTAGAGACAATACATTAAATAAATAAATAAAGCAGCTTAAAGATGTGGTGTCATATCAATGACTTCAATTCTCATTCACTGATTGTTTCCATTAATCAAGCTTTGTTTGGAAAAGTCAAAACAAATGATATATCAGTAATTCTAATTTGGTTATTTGGGTATTTGGTTGATTTACATTGAGGTTAATACAATGTGAACAGTATTACAGAGAGTAATCACTTCCTTCTTATCACATTCCTAAAAATACTGATTTTATAAATCTTAGTATTATTGACTTCCATAAAATTAGTTTTTCTGTGCTGAGAATTGATATTTCTAAGTCTGTTTCTTTCTTGTATTTCTGTCCATAGATTCTAAGACTTCTACTGAATCCTGAATATGTGACTTTTAGGCAAACTAGGTCACAAAAACTTTTGAGACTTACCACCATGCATAACAATGTTTAGCTATTTCTCAAATTCAAAATTAATGTAACAGGGTTAAATGCAAATATGCTTTAGGAAAAAAAATTTTTAATTAACAGTTTAATAATGAATGATGATAAAATGACACCTACTTTTTATTTCCCTGAATAACACACTGGCGCTCCTGTGTTTCAAATCTAAAAATCTTGTCATTTGATAAAGGCATTCAATTCCTTAATTGAATTTGTGTCACTTCACTGAAAGGAGATAACTGTAAATTAGAGAGCAATATTTTTAAAAAAGCATGATGATTATGTTGAAATTTTAAAAGTTAATATTCATTCAGAGTTTGAAATATAGTTCATTTTTTATAAAGGAATGCTATTAAGCTTTATTCCTTAAATGTTTTATTTCCACAAATAAATTGAATTGTTATATGCAAATATACACTCAGATATCTAAATTAATACATGTTCTTTTTTTATGTTCAAGTCTTTTTTATTATTATTATACTTTAAGTTTTAGGGTACATGTACACAACGTGCAGGTTTGTTACATATGTATACATGTGCCATGTTGGTGTGCTGAACCCATTAACTCATCATTTACATTAGGTATATCTCCTAATGCAATGCTATCACTCCCCACTCCCCCCCACCCCACAACAGGTTCCAGTGTGTGATGTTCCCCTTCCTGTGTCCAAGTGTTCTCGTTGTTCAATTCCCACCTATGAGTGAGAATATGCGGTGTTTGGTTTTTTGTCCTTGCGATAGTTTGCTGAGAATGATGGTTTCCAGCTTCATCCATGTCCCTAAAAGAACATGAACTCATCCTTTTTATGGCTACATAATATTCCATGGTGTATATTTGCCACATTTTCTTAATCCAGTCTATCATTTTTGGACATTTGGGTTGGTTCCAAGTCTTTGCTATTATGAATAGTGCTGCAATAAACATTCGTGTGCATGTGTCTTTATAGCAGCATGATTTATAATCCTTTGGGTATATACCCAGTAATGGGATGGCTGGGTCAAATGGTATTTCTAGTTCTAGATCCCTGAGGAATTGCCACACTGACTTCCACAATGGTTGAACTAGTTTACAGTCCCACCAACAGTGTAAAAGTGTTCCTATTTCTCCACATCCTCTCCAGCGCCTGTTGTTTCCTGACTTTTTAATGAGTGGTTTTGATTTGCATTTCTCTGATGGCCAGTGATGATGAGAATTTTTTCATGTGTCTGTTGGCTGCATAAATGTCTTCTTTTGAGAAGTGTCTGTTCATATCCTTTGCCCACTTTTTGATGGGGTTGTTTGATTTTTTCTTGTAAATTTGTTTGAGTTCTTTGTAGGTTCTCGATATTAGCCCTTTGTCAGATGAGTAAACTGCAAAAATTTTCTCCCACTCTGTAGGTTGCCTGATGGTAGTTTCTTTTGCTGTGCAGAAGCTCTTCAGTTTAATTACATCCCATTTGTCAATTTTGGCTCTTGTTACCATTGCTTTTGGTGTTTTAGACATGAAGTCCTTGCCCATGCCTATGTCCTGAATGGTATTGCCTAGGTTTTCTTCTAGGGTTTTTGTGGTTTTAGGTCTAACATTTAAGTCTTTAATCCATCTTGAATTAATTTTTGTATAAGGTGTAAGGAAGGGATCCAGTTTCAGCTTTCTACGTATGGCTAGCCAGTTTTCCCAGCATCATTTATTAAATAGGGAATCCTTTCCCCATTTCTTGTTTTTGTCACGTTTGTCAAAGATCAGATAGTTGTAGATGTGTGGCATTATTTCTGAAAGCTCTGTTCGGTTCCATTGGTCTGTGTCTCTGTTTTGGTTCCAATGCCATGCTGTTTTGGTTACTGTAGCCTTGTAGTACAGTTTGAATTCAGGTAGGATGATGCCTCCAGCTTTGTTCTTTTGGCTTAGGATTGACTTGGCAATGTGGGCTCTTTTTTGGTTCCATATGAACTTTAAAGTAGTTTTTTCCAATTCTGTGAAGAAAGTCATTGGTAGCTTGACGGGGATGGCATTGAATCTATAAATTACCTTGGGCAGTATGGCCATTTTGACGATATTGATTCTTCCTACCCATGAGCATGGAATGTTCTTCCATTTGTATCCTCTTTTATTTCATTGAGCAGTGGTTTGTAGTTCTTCTTGAAGAGGTCCTTCACATCCCTTATAAGTTGGATTCCTAGGTATTTTATTCTCTTCGAAGCAAGTGTGAATGGGAGTTCACTCATGATTTGGCTCTCTGTTTGTCTGTTATTGGTGTATAAGAATGCTTGTGATTTTTGCACATTGATTTTGTATCCTGAAACTTTGCTGAAGTTGCTTATCAGCTTAAGGAGATTTGGGGCTGAGACGATGAGGTTTTCTAGATATACAACCATGTCTTCTGCAAACAGGGACAATTTGACTTCCTCTTTTCCTAATTGAATACCCTTTATTTCCTTCTCCTACCTGATTGCCCTGGCCAGAACTTCCAACACTATGTTGAATAAGAGTGGTGAGAGAGGGCATCCCTGTCTTGCGCCAGTTTTCAAAGGGAATGCTTCCAGTTTTTGCCCATTCAGTATGATATTGGCTGTGGGTTTGTCATAAATAGCTCTTATTATTTTGAGATATGGCCCATCAATACCTAATTTTTTGAGAGTTTTTAGCATGAAGGGCTGTTGAATTTTTTCGAAGACCTTTTCTGCATCTATTGAGATAATCATGTGGTTTTTGTCTTTGGTTCTGTTTATATAGATTTGGTCTGTTCACATAGTCCTATATTTCTTGGAGGGTTTGTTCATTTCTTTTTATTCTTTTTTCTCTAAACTTCTCTTCTGGCTTCATTTCATTCATTTGATCTTCCATCACTGATACCCTTTCTTCCAGTAGATCAAATCAGCTACTAAAGCTTGTGCATTCGCCACGTAGTTCTCGTGCCATGGTTTTCAGCTCCATCAGTTCCTTTAATGACTTCTCTGCATTGGTTATTCTAGTTAGCCATGTGTCTAATCTTTTTTCAAGTATTTTAACTTCTTTGCTATGGGTTCGAACTTCCTCCTTTAGCTCGGAGAAGTTTGATCATCTGAAGCCTTCTTCTCTCAGCTCACCAAAATCATTCTCCATCCAGCTTTGTTCCATTGCTGGTGAGGAGCTGCGCTCCTTTGGAGGAGGAGAGGAGCTCTGAGTTTTAGATTTTTCGGTTTTACTGCTCTGTTTTTTCCCCATCTTTGTGGTTTTATCTACCTTTGGTCTTTAATGATGGTGACGTACAGATGGGTTTTTGGTGTGGATGTCCTTTCTGTTTGTTAGTTTTCCTTCTAACAGTCAGGACCCTCAGCTGCAGGTCTGTTGGAGTTTGCCAGAGGTCCACTCCAGACCCTGTTTTCCTGGGTATCAGCAGCGGAGGCTGCAGAACAGTGAATATTGGTGAACAGCAAATGTTGCTGCCTGATCGTTCCTCTGGAAGTTTTGTCTCAGAGGAGTACCTGGCCGTGTGAGGTGTCAGTCTGCCCCTACTGGAGGGGATGCCTCCCAGTTAGGCTACTCGGGGGTCAGGGACCCACTTGAGGAGGCAGTCTGCCCATTCTCAGATCTCAAGCTGCGTGCTAGGAGAACCACTACTGTCTTCCAGTCTGTCAGACAGGGACATTTAAGTCTGCAGAGGTTTCTGCTGTCTTTTGTTTGGCTATGCCCTGTCCCCAGAGGTGGAGTCTACAGAGGCAGGCAGTCCTCTTTGAGCTGCAGTGGGCTCCACCCAGTTCGAGCTTCCGGGCCACCTTGTTTACCTGCTCAAGCCTCAGCAATGGCGGGCACCCCTCCCCCAGCCTAGCTGCCACCTTGCAGTTTGATCTCAGACTGCTGTGCTAGCAATGAGCGAGGCTCCATGGGCGTAGGACCCTCCAAGCCAGGCGTGGGCTATAATCTCCTGGTGTGCCATTTGCTAAGACCATTGGAAAAGCAGAGTATTAGGGTGGGAGTGACCCGATTTTCCAGGTGCCATCTTTCACCCCTTTCCTTGGCTAGGAAAGGGAATTCCCTGACTGTTTGTGCTTCCCGGGTGAGGCGAGGCCTTGCCCTGCTTCGGCTCATGCTTGGTGCACTGCCCCCACTGTCCTGCACTCACTGTCCGACAATCCCCAGTGAGATGAACCCGGTACCGCAGTTGGAAATGCAGAAATCATCTGTCTTCTGCATCACTCACACTGGGAGCTGTAGACTGGAGCTGTTCCTATTCGGCCATCTTGGAACCCCTAAATTAATACATGTTCTTAAGTCAATATACACAAAATCGTTTTTAACTGTACACATAAAATCTTTCACAGAAGCTCTGGATCATTTGTAAGGCATATGAAAATCTTTCCACAAGTAATCATTTTTAAGTGCAAATCACAATCATTATGCCAAAGGAAATAATATCATCTGAATATATTATTTTCTTAAAATTTATCATGATGCTGTTTTTAATCATTGATTTAAAAGTTCAAGGAACAGAGAACATTGACAACCTTTATTTACGACACTTTCCCAACATCATTGAAATAAAAGTAAGGGGATTTTTATCTTTAAGAAAACAAGGGAAGGAGAGCATAAACCCATAGGAATAAAGCAAATGAAAAAGGACATACATGCAAATAATAAATGGTAATACATTTTGGGGAAGATGGACATCAGCTACAGGAATTATGAGTTTCTCAGGGGACTGAAAAGACCTACAACACAATGGGCTGAAGGGAGAGTTGCTTTAGAGAAAGAATTGTTTGCTCATTGGATTCCTGAAAGGCACAAACAGAGATTAAAGTTACCATTTGAGACGTATTGTGGAAATTGGTAGAGAGGCTGAATTTTTAGCGATTTAGTCAAAGTAATTTTGTAGTCTGGCTAGAAAAGCTGGTATCTCTCTAATTTCTATTTTGTAGGCAAGGAGCAGTGAACTGACATTTTCTGCAGAAGAAAGGGGCTGGACTCATCATTTGATGAAACTACGTAACATTGTTGTGTGAGTGAAGTGTTGGACTATTAAGGAGACAAATAGAAATTGCTATACTCCTTGGTGGATTCACCTCAGTCTCCTTTATTCTTTCTATTCCCAGAACATTAAAAGGCAGAGGGATTTCTTCTTTTCTTGTGAGAGATATTAAGTAGCACCTGTAAAAAGATATTCAAATACTTACATTTGAGGAGAATGGGACACACACAACAAAATTAGCTGATTGCTATCTGATCATTCTTCCATTCAGGGTTGTAAATATAACTCTGTGGTTATGTAGAGATTATTCTACTTTCATATTAATATTTAAAGTTTTTATTTATAAATTATAATACATATTAAATAACCATCCTGTTCTCCCACCTCTGTTGACCCACAGTATCTTGCTTTAGGCTTTTTAAAGTTCACACAGAAATCTGAAATTATTCTCTTCATGCATTTGCTTACTAGCTTATTGCCTCTACCCAATATGACGAAAACTGCATGAGTTATGGAGTTCTGCCTGCCTTGTTAATTGCCATAATACTAAATAGAGTGCATCTAGGGTGAGAAGAGGGGTGACAGTTTTTTGTGGATTTCCTAGATGAGCTAAAGATTTCTGGATGAGACTTGAATAAAGAGAAGAGACTGGTCTTGTAAGTATATGGGTAGCAGAGAGTTTAAAAATAAATAATGAAGAAACTAAAAAAGTCCTGGGACATGATCAAACAGATAAAAGGCTTGTATAGCTACAGTAGAGTGAACAAACTGGCAAAGGGCTTGAAACATGTAGGAAAGAAGTAAAACAGCTCATTTGGGCAGAAATTTCACAATAACAAAAGTCTTCAAGATTGGCCTGAGTTTATTGCCTTTTCTTTAAAATACTGTTATATCACATTATTACATTTATTACATTATTGCATTTGTTTTGGTACACTGCACTAGAATGTTTTGTTTATCAAAGATCTAGACAATCCAGACAATCGTGTTCCTTCTATTTTAAGAAGGTAAACACAAATATTTCACCATAATCTACGCCTTTTCCACCAATGTATTGTTGTGTATTCTATCCCCTTTTATAATACCTACTGGCACAGGATAATTTGGCAGTGACAACTTACAGTCATAATTTCACTTTCACATTTGAGGCAGTGTTAATAACAGGCATGCCCATCTCTAATTTTTAGTAGCAACATCAAATTGCAAGCTGGCACAGATTGTCAACAAAAAGTAACATTGTGACTTGCCAAGAGATACATGTTTCATGTGTTGCAGCAATGTGAAATTTATGTTCTAAGGAAGAGGCACACAGAGGTATCCAGATGGGATTAATTTAAGAACATAGAAAATTTTTATTTGGATTTTTAAAAGAGATAATATAAATTAAATGTATTCTGGTTGTTCAGGAGTCTTCCAGGCTATAAAGGGGAATATAGCCAATGACTATCTCGACCAATACTTTGGAATGGTCTGCTGCATGATGACTTGTGGTGGTCATCATAATAAATAACACTTCTTGTTCTGTATTGAACCACAACTTGTGATAAAAGTGAATCTACAGAGCATGCTGTGAACTTTACCTGACACTAGAAATTCCAGAAATACCACTCCAGGAGAAAGCTCCTCTGTCCATCCTCCATGCCGTGAGTCCCATCATTATTGTGATATACAGCATGTTGATCTCCAAAGCAGAATCTATCCTGGAGGCAATTAGCATAATAGTTTAATTTTGCTGCAAATCTCTGGAGCCAAATTTTAGCCATTCCCAATGTCCAATTTTACAGACTCAGGTACTGAAAAGGTTGACAAAGTGAACAGAAATAAAAGAGTTCACATCAAAGTCCATATCTAATGATATAAGCTTTGCCCTGAGGACTTGCTTGCCTTCTAGGGATAACATCAGAGCAATTGGAAGATTTTTGAGGTTTGGTATACTATCATGAAAATAAGAGACTCATCTATATCAATGTAATGCTGGGTCTTTCTACTTGGTGCATCCTTTTCATAACAGACCATACTAATAAAGAATTGTCCTGAGTGCAGTTGGTTCCATGCAAATATTTGTACTAGATGAAAATTTATAACTCTGGGAGTTTGACTTGTAAAGATAGATTCTGTTAATGCAAATTGTGATTCTAAAATCTCAGTCAAAAGAAAAAAAAATTGCCCTAGAGGCTGAGCTATCCAATTCCAATGATAAAATTCTTAGTTATTCTGTCCATTTTAGACTTTATAGTTTTCAGTATTCTTACCTTGAATGGAGTCTTTCAATAGCATAATACTAGGGAGGCAAAGTAGAAGAGTTCCATATTGAAGAGTAAAATTTCAATCAGTGAAAAATAACAAATATTTTATGACACTATAACATTCATGTATTCATTTAAAAAAACATTAAACTCATAAAATGAGTAAGGTGTATACTCTTGAAAACCTAAAAGCAGTAGAATAAAAACGACTTAAGATTTATTTAAATAATTTTAAAACACAGTGGAAAAAGACAACAGTAAGATATATACAAATGCAAATCTATGGCATTCCAGTATATGTATACTTTTTTTTTTTTGGCTGAAGAATCTGTGACAACTTCTGAAAGATGTAGTCACTGAATTAATTATTTAGGCAAAAGCCTAATCATACCTCATGCTTGAAGACCGACACATTTAGCAAATATGCCTATGAAGCTCATATAAAGCTAGTATAATTCACACTGAGTACATCTTTCCCCATCTCTATTGACACTTGCATTGTAACAAGAGTTACTGTGACTTCTGCAGTCCCTTTCTCTTTCTCTCTAAGATTTCACATCTGCATCAATTAATCGCCTTCACAAGATAGAATAAAATCCATGCACAGGCTTTTTTATCTGTTGGATCATGCTTCAGGATTTTTGTATTTGCTTTCCGATTTATCTTTGAGTTCTGGGCTTCACATTTATTTGCAAAACCAGCTTCTTCTCTTCATTCAGCTCTCAGTTCTAGTCACCTCAACTTAGAGATCTTCCTTAACAAACCACCACAAATTATCACCTATTCCTTCTACCCCAGTTGCACTCTATTCTTCTTTTAAAAAAAACATCAGAACATTAGAAATTATTTTTCTTATTCAGTTGTTACTTGTTTATTATATCTATCACCAAAGAATTAAAGTTTCATTTCATGTTTGTTCCTATTCATGACAACAGCATATAATACACAACTACTCATTAAAAAGTGTTTAATATCTATATATCTGCACACTCTCTCCATCATTTTTTTTCTTGAATTCTCCACTTCCCAGCCCTGTGCATACATTAAAAATTTCCTACTTTCCAAAATACATGTTTGGTAAGAGTATCAGCTTGCATACAATTTTGTAGGAAACAAATCTAAGAAGGCAAATAAACCAAATATGAAACTGATGAACTCATTCTTTACCTTTTCCTGAACAAAGTGAGGTATTACACAACAGAAAAGGGGATGGCCTTTGACATCAATCATACTAAGTTTGAACTTCACCTTTGCCTGCTGGGTAATTTGAAAAAGTTGGCCCATTTGAAACTCTGTCTTTCATCTAAAAAATGAAAAGTATGTAACAATATCTTTTTCAGCTGTGAAAATCAAATGAATTTGTTTACATAAAAGCATAGATAAAAAACTTTCTGATATATAGTTGATATTCAATAAAGACTTCCTTCTTTCCTCTTTTGCCTTATTCCCTCAGGCTAATCAAAATTCCAAACTAGACTAGAGTCAGAATTCTAATTTGCATTAGGCCTACACAGTGATGCGTAATAGGCCTGAAGGTAAACTATTTTGCCTTGGGCCTCCCAGGCAAGTATCATTTTAGATGACTGCCTCAGAAATGTTAGACTTACGAGAGGGAATGTTCCATTAAATTAATGCCTAAATCTTAATTTAAGAAAACTAATTGAATTGTGAAGAAAAAAGCTACTGCTTAAATGTCTTTGGTTTTGGAAGATATAAAGCAAGTGTAAAAATGTTTCGTGAAATCATCAACATCCTTGAAATTTCCAAGTGTATTTTTCCACAGTAAAAAGCTACACTTTCTTTTAATTATTTTATAGTCTTCCATATATTTGAATGTTACCTTTCTTAATTGAAACTAATGTGTTTGTTTTTCTTACTCAATCTCAAAAGACATTTATCTATTGTATTCTTCACGTCAAATAAAATAAGCTTTCGGATTGTATTTGTCTTTCAAAAGAGTTTACTGGTTTTCTATTTTATTAATTTCAAATTTTAGTTTTGTTTTCCCCTTTTCTTACTTTTTGGTTTCCTTTGTTGTTATATTTTTCTTTTTGGTCAAGTTTATTAAGATAAATACTCAGGTATTTCTTCTTTAATAATGATGATCTGTATTAGCTGATTGTCTAATTAGCTTTATCCAAAAGAAAAATAAATTTCTTACATATCTTATATTTTATATATTATGACAAAAGGTAGTTTTGCAACTTGGAGGAAGGTGCTGATGGAATTTAGGCTCCTACCCTTCTGTAGAAACTAGGAGATAGAGGCTTCATTTTCCTTGATCATTAAATTAAAAAGAAAAGAATTCCTTGAGAAAGAAATTCCTATGTGTAAATTTGGCAAGATGATTATTTAGCTTTTATGAAAATTTCCATACATTTCAAAGAGAAAAAGTAAAGGAATTGTAATTACAAAAGTTTTCTAAAATAAATGCTGTAAGAAAATTAAGTAAGTTGGAGTCTCCTCTACTATTTTCAGTCAACAGAATTAATCCTCTTTTTTTAAATTTGTATTTGCAATTATGAAAGAAAGAGTTTCTAGGTGAAAAGCTTTTTCAGGCACACAGCTTTGCCAGGAGGCTTGCTATCTGCCTCCAAACTCCAAGCATTTAAAGCCTTGGGTGAGACATTAATTGAATTTGATCTAAGGAGTAAAGAAGCATGGATTCACTGGAGCTTCCATCTTTCCAGCATTATTGAAACTGACCCCAGGAAAAGAGGAAATGTGTTACACATATTGCGTGGTGAAACCCAACAGAAAAGTATGTAAAAAGGTATCACTAAAAGGAGGCAGGAAGATATGTCCCTTAGTCTAATAGGTTAGATAAAGGACAGAGCCTGATACCTGATTTTTTTTTTTTTTTTTTTTTTTTTTTTACAAGCACTATAGCTTGGAGGATTCTGACACAAGTGTGCTGGGAGGTACATTTTGAGAAACACTCCACTAAGACATTGAGAACTTCAGGAAGATAGAATGTGTGAAATTTTATCTCAGATACAACAACCTATTGGCCAAACATACAAGGGAGGACAAAAATGAGAAGGTAAACATGAAGCTCAAGTAAGGAAAATCTAGACTTAGAAGCTGGCAAAATATGAACATGTCCATGCGATAATAGATTCAAAAATGTACAAAAATGATCTATAGAAACTTTTAGTCCTCTTCTTTATCTCCGTAGCATTTAATAGTGCTTAATATCATTATCTTTTCAAACATTACCTCTCCACTTTCAACACTTTAACAATGTACGTGCTTTTTATAATTTCTTTTTGATATTTCTGCTCCTTTTTCTTATTGTTTTTTAAGTATTCCTTGCCCATAAACATAGGCATCATCCAAGGCTAACTTTCTAGGTATCTTAAATTTCTTCCTCAAAATAACGATATCCAATAATAAATTAATTTCTGTTAATAAGTTTCATGGAGATTTTCATCAATGGTATTGTCATTAGCCACGGCGACCATCTGTTTCTTTGACACTTTGATGGATAACACACAATGTAGGTTCAAAAAAAATGTCCAGGGAGCCAAATATGTGATTAATATGTAAGTTATGTACTCTGATGTTGCAGAAAGGAAGAAATTTAAGTAAAAATGAATGTGGGTAGTAGATTTCAGAAAAGTTTTCAAGTGTCAAGGAAGAAGACGTGCACAAAGACTAGGAATCCAAGATAAAAGTGTTAAATGATGAGCTTCTATAAAAGAGTTGAGAATATTGCTTGGAGGTTAGGAGTGGCATCTATAATGAAAGGAATGTGAATAATTTTTTATTAATTGTTAAATTATTAACATTAACAACTATTTTTTATTATTTTTAAAGTTATTATTTTAGAACCAATTATTATGTTCTGGTATTGTGAAAATTTCTTTTGTATTCTTAATCTCATTTAAATCTCACCTTTGTAGAAGAACTAATACTATTTTCACTTTACACATGAAAAAGCTGTGGTTGGAGGGACAGTCCCAGCCCCTGTAAGAATACTTTGCTAGGTGCTTACTCTCTCTCTCTCTCTTTTTTTTTTCTAGTTGTTAAATGCTTTGTGGATAATTATTTTTAAAAGCAAGAACTAGATGGTCAAGTATCAGAGCCTTTCATTTCTCAGACTGCCAAAGATGTGATCTGTAATGTGCCATCTATTAAGAGTTAAACTCAATTTTTACAAGATTGTGCCTAGCTTAAAAATTCTATGAATCTATAATTTTTAAAAGCAAACTTACTTAAAGGCTTTATATTATTTGATTTATTTGCTTAAGGCAGTGTACGTCCTAATATTGTTTAGTACTTTCACACAGAAATGCTATATTGTGTATATTCTGAATTTGATTCTGCCCAACTATGCCCACACAGTAGTAATTTGAAATGATTCTATGGATGTGGTGGGATAGTAATGTTTCAGGACCTGGTTTCAAAAGTAAGTCTCTAGGAATCAAAGCCCCAAATTAAAATCTAGTAGCACCTTCCACCCTTCAGTTTTCCCATAAAATATCCATTATGATTCTCACACATCAGAAATACAGAATCAAGCCTTTAGGAAAGTCAAGAGTCACCAAAGTTTTTGTTTTTAACTTTTGTATTGACTTTAATGTATAACTATTCCACTAGTAGGCTTGAAGAAACCCAGTCCATTTTTCTATTTTAATCATCATATGATCAATAAATGATCCTAGGGTTAATTAACTGTCTGCTTGGTTATTTATGTATTTATTCTTGATCTATAGATGCTCTTCAACTTCCCATGGAGTTATGAATGGATAAACCCATCGTAAACTGAAAATATCATTAAGTTGAAAATTCATTTAAAGCATCTAACCTACTGAATGTCACAGCTTAGCTTAACCTACCTTAAATGTGCTTAGAACACTTACATTAGCCAACATTTGTGAAAATCATCTAATAGAAAGCCGATTTCATAATAAAGTCTATGAATATCTCATAGACTTTCTTGATACACTGCACTGTAGAGTACAGTATCAGTTATTTAGCATCATGAACTGCAGCTCACTACCATTGCCCAACATCACTAGAAAGAATTGCGTTGCATATCGCTAGCCTGGGAAAAGATCCAAATTCCAAGTATAATTTCTGTGAAATGCCTTTAACTTTCACATCCCACTGTTAGAAAACTGTAAGTCAAGCCATCGTAAGTCAGGGACTGTCTGTATTTGTTTTTTTTTTCTCTCTTTACTATGCATTTATGCTGTTTTTATCCTTTAAATTACTGAAACTTGCTTACTAACTGATAGATGTTGGGCCACTCTACTGATAAGG
Organism: Homo sapiens; assembly: GCF_000001405.40. Classification (NCBI taxonomy): domain Eukaryota; kingdom Metazoa; phylum Chordata; class Mammalia; order Primates; family Hominidae; genus Homo; species Homo sapiens. The sequence continues at coordinate 135,120,634 of NC_000004.12, forward strand.
CTTTCTATTTTTAAATATGCTTTCGGCACGCACACAAAAAAATGACATGAAAGTCTCCTTTCTGTTCCAGAAATGGACAACAGTCCAGGAGAAAATTATTACGCGATATATACTATACAAGATTTTTAAGATCATTAATATGTTATATTTGAAGAAAGATAGACAAGAACTTGAGCTACGGAAGATAATAAACCATGGTGTTTGCATTTGTTTGTTCTTGAGGTAATTTGTATCCTGCTGTGATGCCCAGAGCCCAAACCACAATTACTGTAAACAACATAAGTGGATATTGTTCTTATACAATAATTGCTAGTTACGTATGAGAAAACTGAGAATGTGAAAAAAAATGAATATTTCAATGGGAAACAGTAGATATAATGGTTTCATTTTTATGATTACAAATAATTACCAGTAACTATTAAGTCAAAGGCAAGCTGCAGATATATTTGAAATGTGAAACCCTGCAAACAATTGTCCTGGTGTGGTTTTAGATTGTGCTTTTCTGTTTTTATTCTCTATTAAAGAAGAGATCTGGCTGGGCGTGGTGGCTCACACTTGTAATCCCAGCATTTTGGGAGGCCGAGTCCGGTGGATTACCTGAGGTCAGGAGTTCGAGACCAGCCTGGCCAACATGATGAAACCCTGTCTCTTCTAAAAATACAAAAATTAGCCAGGCATGGTGGTGGGCATCTGTAGTCTCAGATACTCAGGGAAGCTGAGGCAGGAGAATTGCTTGAATTCGGGAGGCAGAGGTTGAAGTGAGCCGAGATTGTGCCATTACATTCCAGCCTGGCAACAGAGCGAGACTCTGTCTAAAAAAAAAAAAAAAAAAAAGAGAGAGAGAGAAGAAGAAGAAAAAGAAGAGATCCAAGTCATTTCATGAACCAGGTTAGTAGAGGCATTTGATTCTCTTTTCATTTTGGTAACTTGAGTCACCAGCATTTTGGGTCTCAGGACTGAATCCTTTATTTTCCCCGTTCCGGTTACCCCATAATGCTTACCCTGTTTTCTTATTTTCATGCTTAAATTATTCCTCTCTTCAGTAGAAAGCATTCTGACATCTCATTCTGCCTTAAGTCAGCATCAGAAACTCATTGATTTTTGTTATTTTTGTTTTTGTTTTTGTTTTGTTTTGTTTTGTTTTCTTTTGAGAAGGAGTCCCACTCTGTCTTCCAGGCTGGAGTGCAATGGCACAATCTCAGCTCACTGCAACCTCCGACTCCCAAGTTCAAGTGATTCTTTTGCCTCAGCCTCCTGAATACCTGGGATTACAGGCACCCACCACCGTGCTTGGCTAATTTTTTGGTATTTTTAATAGAGATGCGGTTTTGCCATGTTGGCCAGGTTGGTCTGGAACTCCTGACCTCATGTGATCCACCCACCTCGGCCTACCAAAGTGCTGGGATTATAGACATGAGCCACTGCACCCAGCCCTCATTTATTCTTTCACAAATATTTTTATTCCACTTCTCTGCATCAGTTCCTGTGCCGAGAAGTGAGGATACATATTGAACAAGACTTCCATGATCCCTTTTCTTATAGAGTTTAGAGTTCATTGGAGAAAAAAGTAACGTTAAGCTAGTAATATTCATAAAGTGTGATAAGGGGTAGAGTAAGGGAAGTACAAACATAATGTGTGGAACTCATCTTGTTAAAGTCAAATAATGCCCCTTAAAAAATAAATGTTTAGGGTGAGATGTGAGGGATATGTTGGAAAGAAGATGTAGTAAAATGTAATAGGTATTGAAAACCTATGAAAATATCTTCAAATGAGGGTTAGTTTAGTATATTTAGACAATTATGTTGGGATTCACTCAGGATGGTGGCAGAAGTATTAAAAGGAAATATTAGGGAGAGTTATAGGGAATAGTCATAAACTTTTCGGAAGGCTCAAAGGTTACATAGCTTGTAATAATTGAACAGGCTGAAGGCAGCCGGTTCTTACCTTAGAGCATTAGGTCATAGGTTAAATACTAGGGACAATAGAGCCTTCCCCAGTTAAGTCTGTTTACTCTACCTCCATTAACTAACCTTTGAGCCAGATGGCCCTCTCAGGTGGAGGTCAACCAAGGATATTCCCCCTAATGGTATTTTCCTTAGACTGTGGTACCTGAGCTTTAATCATTCCTAGAACTACTCTCTTAACCATTTTAATTATCCACAAGTGTGTTTACTCAAAGCTTCTGTTGTTAATTGTATACTAAATAAATGCCTGGAATGAGAGCTGCTCAGGACCAGTGCAGCGACAAACCTCTCTTGTTGTGCAGGCAGTCGGACACTCAGCAGGACTGGCAAAGCAGAATATCTGTGTGTTAGTGTATGTTTTATTCATCCACTGTTTGGGTCAGGGTCTGTAGGCAATACCTCAGAATTAAAATAGAGTGATTGTACTTTATTCTAAAACAAATGATAAATCATTAAAAATGTTAGGAAGTAAAATTATTGATCAAGACTGAATGTGTATGGAAATGGTTTGGAGTCAGAGTGATAAGATAACACATGCAGAGGCCCAGCACGGTGGCTCATGCCTGTAATCCCAGCACTTTGGGAGGCCAAGGCGGGCAGATCACCTGAGGTCGGGAGTTTGAGACCAGCTTGACCAACATAGAGAAACCCCGTCTCTACTAAAAATACAAAAATTAGCTGGCATGGTGGCACATACATGTAATCCCAGCTACTCGGGAGGCTGGGGCAGAAGAATCACTTGAACCCGGGAGGCCAAGGTTGCAGTGAGGCAAGATCATGCCATTGCACTCCAGCCTGGGCAACAAGAGCGAAATTACGTCTCAAAAAACAAAAACCAAAAAAAAAAAAAAAAGAAAGAAAGAAAACACATGAAGCTACTCACGTAGCATTGATGGACACGTCTCAAGGTCTTGCTCCTACGGCTGCTTGCAGACTGCTCCTCTCCCATCCTCTTGTGACTCTGGAAAAATTTTTTTTTGAGGCTTAAGCCATGGGCTACCCATCGTATAGTGCTTGTTGTCTGTATTCTTCACCTACTTTCAGACTTTCAGCCCCTTACAATCATGGAAGTCTAAATATTTGTCACAGTCTTCCCCATTTACAAATTCTGCTATTTTTCTTAGCATTTAAAGTTGTGTAAGTTTTACCTGGATAAGAAGACAGGAAGAGTTGCTTGTACTGAAACAGGGATTGCAAGCTTCTTGTAATTTGTGCATTTGCATGAGGTTGCATCAGCTCAGAGCAAGGTCTGCTTTTTTGCCAAGCGGAGAAGCATTTTATAATTCATACTTCCAGCAGGAATAACTCTCCTCTAAGCCATACAAAGATGTTTTAGGTTTTAGTTATATTAGCACATTAACTATAGGTTTCAATATCTGCATTAGTTGTCAATTGTGTAACAATCATCTACTAACTTGGTGCTTTAATATAATGGTTTATTATTTTTTCAGATTTTTGTGGATTCACTTAGGTTCAGCTGGGTAATTCTTCTGTAGATTTTGCTGGAGGCCAGTCCCTTATGCAGCTCCATTCAGCTGGCAACTCAGCTGGGGTGAAAATATGCAAGATGGCCTTCATCTTCCAGGATCCCACATATATGGCTTCTAATCATTCAATGTCTAGCCTGGTTTTCCTTACATAAGGGAGACTGAACTCAAAAGGGAGAAGCAGAATCCACTACATTCTGGGCTCAAGAACCCCAAGTATGTCATTTGCACCACATTTAATATAAAAACAAGTCACAAGAATAACTCATATTCAAGAGAACAGGAAATAGAATTTATCTCTTGATGTGAGGAACAATATGCTCACATGGCCATAGAAGGAATTAGTGGTTATATTTGGAGATTACTTACCACTTTCTCTTTTCTCCTACACTCTATGTCTCAGAGATTTGTGCCAAGTTGCTTAAACATTTTGTATCTCACTGTCTTTCTACATGAAAAAAGGATGTTAGAAAGCTATTTATTTCATAGTGCTTTTGGGTCCAATTTAGTCCTTGTATATCACTTAAAACAAGATCTGACACATGGCTTATTAATAATTGTAACAATTATTATTATTATTACTATTACTATGTTTTTCATTGTAATCACTATCATTTTAATTCTTCCTCAATTTATAGCAGGTCTACAATATGTATTATTTGCTTACTTAGCAACTTAACCACTTAGTTACTTAGCAACTTAAGTATTATAAGTTAATTATTTGCTACAAATAATTAAAATGTTTCTCTAATATATGATATAAACTTTGAAAGCACAGTAAGAACTATTCTCCAGGCTAACAAGATTAAGCAATCGCCATCTGTAAATATTACATTTAGATCAATCATTTCAAATTCAGTAGGTGTTTGCCTTTCTGCACTAATAAGTTGTAATGGCTACTGCAGTACCCAGAAAGAGATCATGAAAATCAAAATATATTGAAGTGCCCTTTTCAAAAACCTTTAGACTAGATGGGATCCTACTAACATTGATATCATTTTAAGGTAATAAATAACTTGAAATTTGTTGTGTTATAGAAAACATGACACCATGTTCTTTCACCACTTACAAAACCAAACAGATAAAGAATTCCAGGCTGGGGGCGGTGGCTCATGCCTGTAATCCCAGCACTTTGGGAGGCCAAGGCGGGCAGATCACGAGGTCAGGAGATCAAGACCATCCTGGCCAACATGGTGAAACCCTGTTTCTACTAAGAATACAAAAATTAGCTGGGCATAGTGGCACGCTCCTGTTAGTCCCAGCTACTTTGTAGGCTGAGGCAGGAGCATCACTTGAATCCAGGAGGCAGAGGATGCAGTGAGCCGAGATTGCGCCACTGCACTCCAGCCTGGTGACAGAGCGGGACTCCGTCTCAAAAAAAAAAAAAAAAAGAAAAAAGAAAAAAAGAATTCCAGTGCACTTGATTTTACAGACCATATTGAAATATGCTTTAATGTAAATCAATATTTTGCTGATCCAGCATCTCCATTCTTTGTCCATTTTTACTGATGACTGATTCTTTGTAACTCACTCTGGGCTCCTTTTCTAACCTCCCATCAGACTGCCAGATGCCTCATGTTATTTTCCCTCATATGTATACATTTTATATATAATATATATGGTGCTAATTAATTTTATAATATTAATATCTCAAAAATAATTAGTAATTAGAAACTGGTAAAAGTATAGCAATTATATATTGAAAAATATAATCATATCAGCATTACATCATTTAATTCCAATAAACAGCAAAATAAATAGGCATATTTTCGTCTTCATATGAGAAATAATTTTAGAGTAATTTTTCTAAGTTTATATAACCAGATCATAACAAAATTTGAATTTTGAGCCCAAGTTGACCTGACTCTATGGTTCAATTTCTTAAAATAAAGACAAAATATAAAAATAAATCCTTAACTATGTATTGTAAGTCAGTAAAATTATCCTCAGATGGTACTCATTTTGATAAAGGATAAACTTTCTACTACAATAAAACAAAAAATTCCTTATGATAGAAATTAAAAGAAAACACATATTATTTATAATTTAGTAGTAGCACAGTCTGAAGGTCAAAAGTGAACCGATACTGACTTCTTGAACATATTTACTACTTTTATTTTTTACTCTAATCAACCACTGTTCTTTCTACTGTCTACAGAAGATAATGTTTTTTGTAGTTGCAATTGCTCTGTCTTCAAAACTATGGACCTCTCTGCAGCATTTATCAATCCCTTCCTTCTTGAAACTTTCTTCCTTCTTTTATATTCAGTGTTAATGAATTGTTTTAAATATTTTAACTCTCTGATTATAATTTCTCTGGTTCTACAGGCTCACCCCTGTAATCCCAGCACTTTGGGAGGCAGAGGCAGGTGGATCATCTGAGGTCAGGGGTTTGAGACCAGCCTGGCCAATGTGGTGAAACCCTGTCTCTACTAAAAATACAAAAAATTAGCCGGGTATGGGGATGCCTGTGGTCCCAGTTACTTAGGAGGCTGAGGCTGGAGAATCGCTTGAACCGGGAGGCGGAGGTTGCAGTAAGCCGAGATTGCTCACTGCACTCTAGCCTGGGCTACAAGAGTGAAACTCTTTCTCCAAAAAAAAAAAAAAAAAAATTTCCATCTATCTATCTATCTATCTATAGATATTCACAATATAGTCTCTTCAAAGATTTATTTCATTCTATTCATTGTACTCTAATTGATTTTAATTTTTATGGGGATATATATCAGTATCATTAGCTGATAAAATTTATGGCTCTATTTATCTGAATAATGTACATATGATTATTTGTACAAATGTTACCTAACAGTTCTGGAGCCCATATATAGAATCAAGACTCTATTTTGATCCTTAAGAGAGCAGGCATCCTAGATTAAAAACACTAAATTTCTTATGCTTACCTCAAAATTAGTTTGGTTTCACTGAATGTGATCTTCCTACACTGGGCACTGCAAGAACTAGAGTAATGACTGGTTCATCTCCATCTCCAGTGTAGTGCCTATAGCACAAAAAGCATTCATTAAAGTTGGTCAACTTAAGAAACAAATGATTTAAGAGAGAAACAAAACAAAACAAAACAAAATAAAAACCCAAAAAAGTCATGTGAGCCAGGTGTGGTAGCTCACACTTGTAATCCTAGCAATTTGGGAAGCCAAGGTAGGAGAATCACTTGAGGCCAGGAGCTTGAGATCAGCCTGGCCAACATAGCAAGACCCCATCTTTATTTTAAAAATTCAATTAAAAATAAAATTAAAGAATCATGTTTGCCTCAATTATCTTCTTTGCTCTAGTTATGCATCGTACTTTTATTTCTAGGAAGTGATGAGATCTTTATTTGAGACAGGGTCTCACTCTTTCACCCAGGCTGAAGTGCCATGGCAAAATCTTGGCTTACTGCAGCCTTGACCTCCCAGGCTCAAGTGATCCTCCTGCCTCAGCCTCCCAAGTCTGGGACCACAGGTGCACACCACCATGATGAGTTAATTTTTTAATTTTTTTTTGTAAAGATGGTGTTTCACCATGTTGCCCAGTCTGGTCTCAAATTCCTGAACTCAAGTGATCCACCCACCTTGGCCTCCCAAAGTGCTCAGTGCTCAGATTACGGGTGTGTGCCACTGGCCTGCTGATGGGATTTTGAAACTGATTGTTCATGACTGAATTAATGATAGGAGCATAGAATTCTAGAATCTTTTTCCTTCAAGTAATCTAGATGTGACAATTCAGTCATCTGTAATCCTCTTTTCTTTATTTTCTTACTATTCCAGTCCCAGCCCTTCTTACATTTCCTTGGAAACATTCTATCTAGCTAACCTATTGACAGGTTTGAATCTCACCCTGATAAATATTTTGTAGTTCATATCTACATTAGTAACTTTAAAGTACGAATGTGATTACATTTCTCACATTCAAAAAATCTTGATGAGCTCATAATTGGTTACAGAATAAGTAAAAGGTATTTAAACTCCTCTTGAAGATACCTTTAATCTAGCCATACATATTCAAGAATATCCATATAATTGTTCAGCACCTCTCTATACTCTGAGATCTGAATATTCCTGTGTTTACTTTTGCTTTCCCCACTACTTGGGATTGTCTCCCTATCTCACCTCTGCATGTTTAAATATTGCTTATCTTTTCAGACAGCACTCAAATGTTGCCTTATTCATGATTCTCAAAGCCAGCAAATAACAACCTGATAAAATTAAATTGGCAAAAAGAAAAAGGAATAATAACATGCAAAGCAAGGGAAACAAATTCTTCAAGAAATCACTGAAAAGCATTAATGTAGATATTAATAAGTGAAAAACAACAGAAACAGAGACTACTGTGGATGCATTTATATTTCCTGTTTTCAGCAAATCTGTCCTTGATTCTAAGAACAAAGTTATATCTTCAGTAAATATATATCTAAGCAACTAATAACAATTAGATTAATAGACACACAAAATTAAAACATTCAGTCTGAATAATATAGAATTATCAGGAACATGCAGTTGTGCTTATATGTGTTATTTCTAATATATCCCAAATAAGAAAAAAAAAGAAAGAACTGCACCTAATATTTACAATTGTGAAAGCAACAGAGAAGAAAAAGGGAAACAATGTTTATTTAAATAGACAGAAAAACATAATGGAGAAAATGGAGAGAACCTTTAAAAAGTTAAAGGATGCAAGACAAACCACAAATACTAACCACAATGATATTTAATTCATTTTTGTTGGAAAATCAGAGTCACTGTTGTCAGGTTCTGAACTTTCAGTGGTGCCAGGATGTCTTGAAGTTGATTTTTAGTCCAGTAAATCATTTATTTTGGCCAAGTCAGAATGGTTTCCTGAATTTCTGCAACAGGCATTAGTAGTTCTGAAAAGCTATGTGTTTGTGTGTGTATGCATAAATGTGTATATATATATTAATTATACTAATATAAAACTACATATATATGCACACAAATACACACATGCACATACATTTTTCATTAAATTAAAATTTTCATATTTTTTAAAGTGTGAATACATCTTAAATATAAGAAAATAGGTAGCAAGATAAATTCATATGTTTTTGGTTTTGATTATGATAAAGTCACTAGTTTTTAAAAAATAAATCACAATTCTGAAAATAATAGTAATATAATTTTTTAAAATACTCATTTTAAAAAATATGTTTTCTTAGCCATTTAAGGTTTTATGTTGCATTAAATAACACATCAGAGATGTTCAAAGATAATGTAACTTGCATATTTTTCTATTAAAAATACTAAAATATAATAGAGAAATATTCTTTCTAGGAAGACTTTAGCAAGTAAATATAATGAAATAATTTACAGAAATGGGATATTTTCTGGAAAATATATCTGGAGAGTCTTTCAACTTTATATATTTGTTCCACTGCCTTTTGGGGGTAAGTGTTTAATTTTGAAGGCTATGAGCGGTTCAAAACACTTAAAAACTTAAACATGAGAAATCACAATGTAATCATGGTTACTTAAGAGGTCATATAATTAGGCTGTCAATCATCACAACAAATACTCATTTCAGAATATTTCACTATCAGTAGCATTGGGGTGAGAATCAGTTCAATTTTCCTTTTTGCAACCAGATATAAATAATAACCTATACAAATCTAGGAGGAAGAAGAAATCTCAAGAACTTCCTCTTAGATAGTCTCTTGAGATAGATTTTTTTTCTGGCAATAATTCCAAGAAAAGAAAAAGATTCTGCCTATAGACGAAAAGCATAATCATCACTTTCATAATATTTTAGTAGATTTTGGTATACAAATTGTTAATGGAAAGCATTTTTAAATAAATAAATGAAATAATGAGTCATACATGTTGCACTGGAATTTTTATGTGGGATGCAACTTTCCCAAAGTGGAATTTATTTGATTAAGCATATTTTTTAACATTACTTTTCACAAATCTGTAGGGTTTTAGTTGTTCAGATCTAATAAACGTATAAATGACAACATAGATTTATAACAAACAGAATGAAGGTGCAATCTATTATAAAGATCTTTACGGCAATAAACAAATGTTTATCGAACAGTAGTTATCAGCCAGGTACTGTATTACGTGCTGAGAAAAATTTAAACAATTACAGTTAAAGTGTATATGTGAAACATATATATATATTATATATATAGTATGCATGTTTATGTGTGTTGTATTTATTTCTAGGTAAAATATCTAAAAAAATTATAAATAGGCTCTAGAATTCTCAATGTTATGGTAATTTTCAATTCCATTTTTTATAATTATGACATATGCACACACACACTCACACACCCACACATACACTCCTCAAATTGGTAATGAAGAATGACATGATTGTTTATTTTTAAGTAAACATGTGATTGGAGTGTTTGTTTATCAACACTACTATTCACAACAATCCTACAAACTAACAATAATAATAAAAATAAAAATGAAATGATAGCATGGCCTGACCAGTATCTATCTTCTATCTTCGCTTCTAGTGTATTTCCATGTAAGCAAAATTAAATAAATTTATGATTTTATAACAATTATAAGTTTAGCGAAAACTTGTGGCACTAGAATGCCCTCTTACCTCACATCCAGTTTCCCCCAATATTAATATATTACATGGTCTGGTATCATTGTTGTAATTAATAAGCTAATACTGATACATTATTAACCAAAACGCATGCTGAAATCCATTCGTATTTCCCTAGTTTTAACTAATATTATTTTTCTGTTCCAGGATATAGTCCAGAAAAACATAGCACGGTTCATATTTATGCCTTCTTAGGTTGCCCTTGACTGTGTCAGTTTCTTAGATTTTCCTTGTTTTTTATGATCTTGAGAGTTTTGAGGAGTATTGTTCAGGTATTTTGTAAAATGTGCCTCAATTGGTTTTTTTAATGTTTTTGTATGATTAGACTGGGGATTTAGTTTTTGGGAGGAAGATCATGGAAGTAAATTGCCTTTGTCATTACTTCATATGGAAAGTACAAATTATTAACGTGACCTATTACTGCTGATATTATCCGTGATCATCTGACTGAGGTGGTATTTCTCAGGTTAATCCACAGTAAAAACAGTGTTTTTCTCCCTGCTTTCCTTCTCTCTGGAAGGAAGTCATTATGGGCAGCCAACATTAAAGAATAGGGGGTTACACTCCTTCGCTGAGAGCAGAATAATTACCTAAATATTTTGGAACTTTTCTGCACAGGAGAATTTGTCTCCTCTCTCCCATTTATGTACTTATTTAATTATTTGTTTATATTAATAGACTTATGAATACTTATTTTTACTTTTTGTTATAGCCCAATATTACTTTATTTTCTTGCTCAAATTGTTACTACTTTAGACATTTGGAGCTCCATCCGTTGGCTATGTCCATTCCACATAAAACCATTATGTGGGGTTTTGGGGGGCTAAAGGGGTATTTCCTTACATTTTGGGATAAAAGATACTCTGGAATCATCTAGTATATTTTCTTCTCCAGTCCTAGAATCAGCCACTTCTCCAAGGAACCCTGGTTTCTTTTATTGGTGACTAGTATTATCAACCAACATCTAGGTGTACTTGACACTACTGAGGTGTCATTTTTTAGGCCCTCACAGCTGACAGAGCAAGGAAATATATGTGTATACTAACTCACCTATATACATACATCTATAAATATTTTTATATGTAACCATCCGTGTCTATATTGAGCTAGAACAAGCTAAAGGTGAGATAACTGATGTCTCTGACTCTAATTCATTACTATGTGGATCATTCTATTTTCTCTTTGCTCATCTGCAACTTTACATGCTAACAGTGAGAAAATTGGCTCTTACACTACACCATGAATTTACAGTTTTTATTTTTATTTATTGCTTTTAGTCTTACATACTATGCTCATTTCCAAAATGATTTAGGTCAGCAACTTCCTGCCACACCTTTTAATGAGACTGATCCATACACGTGTAATAAAGTGAAGCTGATTTGTAATAGTCTGCATCTATCCTAGGATCTCCTGATCTCCTAAAGGCTATTGTCACAATTTGCATACCGTAAGGTTCACTCTTTATGCTGTGAAATTCTGTGGGTTTTGATAAATGTACACTGTCATGTAACTACCACTTCAGTAACAAAAATAATACTTTCACTGCAGTAAAATAGTCTCTGTGTTGCCTTTATTCAGCCTTCCTCCCCTCTCTTGAAACCCAGGCAAACACTGTTTCCTTTCCTTCTTTCTTTCTTTCTTTTCTTTCTTTCTTGCTTGCTTGCTTGCTTGCTTTCTCTTTCTCTCTTCCTTCTTTCCTTCCTTCCTTCCTTCCCTCCCTCCCTCTCTCCCTCCTTCCCTCCCTCCTTCCTTCCTTCTTCTTTCTCTCTCTTCCTTTCTTCCTTTCTTTCTTCCTCTTTCTTTCTTTTTCTTTTTCTTTCTTTCTTTCATTCTTTTGTTCTTTCTTCTTTCTTTCTTTCTTTTCTCTCTTTCTCTTTCTCTCTTTCTTCCTTTCTTCCTTTCTCTCTCTTTCTTTCTTCTTTCTTTCTTTCTTCTTTCTTTCTTTCTCTCTCTCTTTCTTTCTTTCTTTCTTTTTTGAGATGGAGATTCAGTCTTGCTGCCCAGGCTGGAGTGTAATGGTGTGATCTCGGCTCACTGCAACCTCCACTTCCCTGGTTCAAGCAATTCTCCTGCCTCAGCCTCCGGAGTAGCTGGGATTACAGGCACGCACCACCACACCCAGCTAATTTTGTATTTTTAGTAGAGACGGGGTTTCTCCATGTTGGTCAGGCTGTTCCTCCCGATCGCAGGTGAGCCACCTGCCTTGGCCTCCCAAAGTACTGGGATTACAGGAGTGAGCCACCACATCCGGCCTTGACAAACACTGTTTTCTACAGTTTTGCCTTTTCTAGAATATTTATAATTGAACTTAAACAGCATGTAGCCTTTGAAACTTATTTCACTATCAATAAGCATTTTAGACTTATCCATGTCATTTGTTGTCTTCAGAGCTCATTTATTTTTGTCGCTGAACAATATCTCCTTGTATGGAAGGATCATAGTTTGTTTATTCATTTACCTGTTGAAGGACAGGTTGACTGTCTCCAATTTGGAGCCATTATGAATAAAGCTGATAAATCATGTTCGTAAAATTTTTGACATAAATTTTCAAATCCTTTGGGCAAATATGTAGGAATGTAATTGCTATATCATATGATAAGACTATGTTAAGCTTCGTAAGAAACTGACAAACTGTGTTCCAAAGTGGCTGTACCATTTTGTATTCCCAACAACAATATATGAGAGTCTTTTAATTTTGCATCATCAACAGCATTGGTATTTACAGATTTTTAGATTTTAACCATTCTTATAGGTATGTATTGGTATCTCTTAATTTGATATTTGTTAATAGTAAATGTCGTTGAACATCTTTTTTATGTCTCATTCCCATTTATATCCCTTCTTGGGTGAAATATCTGTTCATATCTTTCGCCTATTTTTATTGTGGTTATTTTCTTGTTATGGAGTTTTAAGAGTTACAAATTTTAGGTATAAGTTTTGTGTTAAATGTGTGTTTTGTGAATATTATTTTTAAATTCTGGATCTTTTCATTCTTCTAACGCTGTCTTTCACTGAGGAGGCATTTTAAACTTTAATATGGTCAGACTTACCAAATTTTTCCCATGGGTCACACTTTTCACGTTGTATTAATATCTAAAAAGTTACTACTAATCCCAAGGATGCATGGCATTTCTTCTGTTTTTTATTTTCTTTTATGTATTTTATCATTTTGCATTTTAAATTTAGTCTATGCTGTATTTTGAGTTCTCTTTCTTTTCTCAAAATTATATATTCTGTGTTTAGGTTGATTTGATTTTGAATATGGATGTGTAACTTTTGTGTCTTCATTTCAGTATACATTCTAGGCATCATATACTCTAAAAATAAATATTAAAATACTGCTTTAGCTGGTAAATCTATATATTCCATTAATTTTCAAATTTTCTTTAGAATTCATATGATCTAAGTAGATTTTTTTGTTAGAGCTCATTATCTGAGAATTTTTGTTAATTCTTTGGACCTTTCTACAAAGACAATTATGTAATCTGCCAATAAAGACCATCATTTTATATCTTCTTTCCCAATCTGTAAACTTTTATTTCCTTTTCTTATCTCCCTAGCTAGGGCTTCCAGTATAATGCTGAATATTAGTGATAAGAGTGGACCTACTTCACTAGTTCTGAAAGGCATCTAGAAAAAGACAGCTAGTTTATCACGATTAAGTATGATGTTAATTGTAGATCTGGGTGATTTTTTTATCAGTGAAGTGTTATTATTTGGTACCCAAACAATACAAATCTTTCAAGAATTTATAAAGTGGACAATTTTTAAATCAATAATATTTGTTCAACAAACGATATCAACTGAGATTTAAAAGCAAGCCCAGACAGTAGGATATAAAATATTTGTAAAACATATCCAGAGTATGAATATTCTCCTATAGATCACAGAAAAAGAAGAATGACAGAATAGAAAAAATGCACAGCAAACTTGAACAAGATTTTCACATGAGGCTGTCTAAATTGCAATGATTGCATTAAAAATTATCAATCTCCTAAGTCAACAGAAAATCAAAACCTTAATAAGATAAATTCACTCGTTACAATGATAAACATTTTAAAAGACTTTAAACTATAAAATTCTATTTTAAAAATTAAAATCTACATTTTACATTTTATTATTCAATCTTGTTTTACTTAATAATATGCAAATAATTTTATTTCACATTATTTTCTGCATTGTAGAATACATAATGTATTATATTCTTCTTGTGAATAGCTACCAGTATGAAGTATATTAAATAATATGTAAAAGTCATTCATGTTTCCTCCTCCAAAATACTCCTATGTCTAACGACTCTCAATAGTTTGAATTTACCTTTGTAATATACTTTCAATCTACATTTAAAAATGTATACCTATATAGAATATGTTCTCCATATAGGACTCTGATTTTATTGGCATAAAATGATAAAGTATGTTGCTAGTGAGCTTAAGAATAAGTAATAATAAAAGACACACAACCAAAGCAAGATATAATGTAGAATATTCTGACAGGTGTACAGCTTCCCCACATTTCCAGGATTTCAGAGGCAGATGTGTGTGTGAATGTTCTTTCAGTGATAATTTGGTCATGCAATAGAAGCTAGCCTTAAACATTTATAACAAACTCATTGTGTCTCCACCCAAATCCGTATGTTGAAACCCTAACACCAATATGATAGCATTTGGAGGGAGGATCTTCGGGAAGTAATTAGGTCATGAGGGTAAAGCTTTTATGAATGTTTTTTAGTGTACTTGGAAGATTCCAGAGAGCTAGCTCACTCTCTTTCTGCCATGTGATAATACAATGTGAAGACCACCATATGCAATCCAGTACATGAGCTTTCACCAGACACTGCATGTACCAGCAACTGGATCTTGGACTTCCAGGCTTCAGAACTATAAGAAATAAATATCTGTTGTTTAAGCTATTATACTTAATCCATGGTAATTAGTTATAGCAACCCAAACTAAGGCAGAAGCATATCAAGAAGTGAGTACGCTGCTGTAACAAACATGTAAAAATGTGGAAGTAGCTTTGGAAGTGGGTGTTAGGGAGAGGTGGAAAGTGCTCTGAAGTACATGCAAAAAGAAGCCAAGATTGTTGTGAAGAGATTTTTAAAAATAATTCCAATGAAGGCTCAGAGAAAAAGGAGGAGAGTTGGAGAGAAGGCCTCTGTCTTCTCAGAGAATACCTAAGTAATAATGAACAGAATGTTGGTAGATATATGAATGGTAAAGTTCATTCTGTTAGGTCTCAGACAGAATTGAGAAACATCGTGTTGGAAACTGTAAGAAAGGCAAACTTTGTTAAGTGGCAAAGAAATTGGCTGAAATGTGTTTATTTTCTAGTGTTTTGTCGAAGGTAGAAATTGTGAGCAATGAAAGTGGATATTTTGCTGGAGACTACTAAGCAAAGTGTTGAAAAACTGTCTTTGTTCCTCTTGACTGCTTAAAGTAAAATGCAAAAAGAGAGATATGTCTTGAATACGAAATCGCTAAGCCAAAATAAACTAGAACTTAAAAGATTTCGAAAATTCGCAGCCTGTCTATATTGTAAAAAGTAAGAAAGCATCCCTTTGATGAAAAGATTGGTATGGTGTGAACCATGGAATTAATCAGCCACCCCAGCAGGAAAATTGTTAGTTTGACCTAGAGGGAAAAGAGGGTAGGAATGAAAAATGTTGTCTGTCTTAGATTTTATAAGAAGACTGTAAAGCTATTTAGTTGGAAGTGGGCTCTATTTTTCATGATAAGGTAAAAAGGATCTTGAAGGCAATTCAGATACAATCAGGTTGCCTCCTAGATTTCACAAAGGAAGGAAGAGAATAACCCTGATTTCAAGGTGCCAGAACCACCACCCAATGGCACAGGGTGGGACCACTCAAAGCTGTCAGGGCTGAAACCCTGTCTTTCAGAGTCCTAGGGGCAGGATCTCACTCCAGTGAGTTTACAAGGTGGAAATTCTGCCCTAGGGAATCTGGAAGGTGGACCCACCATGCCAGTGGCATAGGAGGCAGAGAATCTAGCCAAAGATGGATATTCCTGAGGCATAAGATCTCATGGAGTTTGCCTTGCTAGGTTTTAGACTTGCTTGGGACTTGTTATTGCTTTTTTTTTTTTTCTTGTCTCTACCTTTTAGAATGAGAATGTCTGTCCTATACCTGTGCTACCACTGTTTTTTGGAAGTTCCTAACTTGCTTGATTCCACAGGTTCACAGCTAGAAAGAAATTTTTCCTCAGGATGAGTCATGTCTCAAGTTTCACCCATATCTGATTTAGATGGTATTTAGATGAGATGTTGGACTTTGACCTTACAGCTGATGCTGGAACAAGATAAGACTTTGAAAACTATTAAGATGGAATAATTGTATTTTGCATGTGAGAAGAACATGAGTTTTGAGGGGTCAGGGCAGAAGGCAATGGCTTGGAGTTTGTGTCCCCCCTACCCCTTTCCTGCAGATTCATATGTTGAAACACTAATCCCAGTGTGATAGTATTTGGAAGTGGGGCCTTTGGGAAGTAATTGCATCATGAGGGTGGTGCCCTTACAAATAGTATTAGTGTCCTTATAAGATACCAGAGAACTATCTCTTTTTCTACCATGTAAGGGTATAACAGGAAGATAGCAATTCACTAACCATGAAGCAAGTCATCACCAAACATCAGATCTCCTGGCACTTTCATCTTGGACTTTCCAGCCTCCAGAACTATAAAAAAGAAATACTTGTTTAAGCTATCCAATTTATGGTAATTTATAGTATCCTGAAATGATTTTGACACTATTCTCTTGAATTTCCTAAAACTCCTTGTGAACTATGCACCCCTTCCCTCTCACACACTTCTTCAAGATTGTGAAACATGAAAGGCTATGGTTCTATATCCACATGCTGCCAAGGGTAAGAAACTGACGTGAGTGGCTCTTGAACAATGCTGAATGCCTACTGATACGTCAAGTTAAACAAATGTTACTTTATAAGAAATATTTTTTTCACATTTCACGTGTTTAAGAAGCATTTATCCTTGTATCATCCACATTGTTTGTGATTTGTTTTCTCTACTAAACACTAAATTATAAACATTATTTGCATGTATCATTATTAGATAATTGCAGTTTGAAATTAAAAGCATGATGTCACTTGAAATAGCACTAAAATATAAAATACCTGTATAAATCTCACAAAATATATACTAGGTAAATATAAAGAAAACTATAAAACTCTGATGAAAGAAATCAAAGATAATCTAAATAAAAAGAAATGCTGTATGTATGGATAGAAAGATATATTTTAAGATGCCAATTATTCCAAAATTGATCTATTCCTTTAATGCAATGTTGATCAAATCCCAGAAAGTAATTTTGTGGATATCAACAAATCTTTTAAAAAGCTTATATTGAGAGGGAGAGTAGCAAATACAATATTGAAGAAGAACAAAGCTGAAGAACTAACACTACCTGAGTACAAGACCTACTATAAAGGTACAGCAATGAAGATGGAGTTATTTTGGAAAAAGGACAGACACATAGATCAATATAGCAGAAAAGAGAACCCAGAAATTTATACATACAATTATTTAAGAAAGGCAAACCAGATCTTTGACAAAGGAGCAAAGGTTTATCAAGAAAGAATTGTTTTTCAACAAATGTTACCATTATCATTGGATACCTGTATCCAACTCCATGTGGATAATAATGCACATAAGATACAAATCTTACAGCTATACAACATGAAATAAATATATGGAACAGTTATTTATGAGCTCTGAAAGGTAAATTGTAGCAGGTTGATTGGGGAGAAGAGCAGAATTCAATTAACATGGCAAGTTATGTAAATATACCACCATCACACCTTCCCCCAACCCCATCCTGAAATCATTGCACAGGAAACCAGGAATTGAGCACTGAAGCACAGACCTTGGAAACTCTGAAAGAATACCCCTATCTTGCCTGTTATACAGAAAAAGAATACATAAGCTCAGAGGTAGGGTGGAAATTCCATGCTTTTCATTTGTCTTTTTTTTTTCTCTCATCCCCCGTACTTCACTGCTCAAATATCTAGTGATAGTCATGGCAGAAACTGGCAACGGAAGTTCTCATAAGCCAAACTTCAGTTGAAGGGGCTGCTTTCTCTATGCTCTGTGCAGCTGTAGGTCCAATAGGGAAGGGCCAGCCTGGTCGATATATTATTTGTCCTCCCATTGCTTGTACTCAGCAATGAACACAGTTGTGTAATTATGCGGAAGACTGGGATAACTAAAGACCCAGCTTTCTAAACAAAGGCCAAAAAGAGGAGCCCCATTGAATTCGAAAGTATAGAATAAGTCTCGGAGAAGAAATTCCCCTATAGAATTCTCCAAAGGATTTAGACAAAACTCCCATGTCCTCTATAGGATTTAGACACAATTTTAAAACTCAAACATAATATGCAAACTGTGCTGGACACAATTCAAAATTCTGAACTGACACAGAGACAAATAATTTATTAGAAAAGAGGGAGATATTGTGTAAGTTATGAATATCAACTTAAGATGCATGTTGATTGTTTTTCTCAGAACACAAACCTAATCATTCTACAATCCTAGATTAGTCTATATTTCTTCTTTATTGTTGTTCACAGAAACTTCAGTATGTGGTCCCTGACTATCTTGCTTACTAGATTATTTATTGTTACAGACCTATTATTTCTCTGTTAGCTACTTTAGTTTTTATATGTTCTAGTTTCTCAGCTGCCTCACATTAACTTTTAAATCAATTTCCAACAAGGTGTTTCTAAATGGACCACTATTTGTGTACCTCCTCTGTCTTCTATTAGTTCTCCTCCTCCACTCTTGTTTGCCAAACTACTTTCCTTGAATTATGAGTTTAGTGATCACTTTCACAAGCAGTCTTGCCTGATCCATTCTAGACCAGACTTCTGCCACTTTTATGCATTTCTAGTGCTTAATATGCTTCCATTTGTGATGCTAGCTTTTAAGCTTGATAAAAAATAAAGCAATAAGGGTATGTCCTCTCTTTGCCTCCACAGCTGGGGCTTAAAATAATACTAGACACACAATAGCTGGGTAAATCAATAAATGAATGATTAAACAAGAGAAATAATCATGCTGATGCCCACCTCTTAAAATAAAAATACTTTGAAAACTTTAGATTCTATAATCTATGTACATAAAAGTATTAACAATTTTAATATATTTTTAGAACATAGAACCAAGACTAGGCTATCATAGATGTTTTGGGGAACAAGAAAAGATTAACAGCTCCTCCGTGTAAAATATATTTACAACCCTCTTCATTTTTGTTAGTGTATATTAAGCATATTTTCCCTGATATTCCAGGGATTTTAAAATGTCTATTGTCAGTTTTCAATATGAAACAGTCACATTTCTCTTATTTTCAAAAGACGTTTAAGATTATAAAAATGTTAAGTAATGTATCATTTTTGCTTATAAAATGTTATAGGCCAAGATATATTCACATTAAGAAAAGTTATGATAAATGATAAATTTAAAGAAATAATAGATTTTCACTTGGGTGAAAATGTCAAAAATACAAAGATAAATACATAAATTATTGTTCAGCAGTTAGTAATTCAAAATATGGCTTATCAAAACCTACTAATTTTTAGAGCCTAAATATTGAAGAATAAGGTACTAAACTATATTTGTGAAAAACATCAAATGAAAGAACCTGGAAAATAAATTATGAATATATGTAATGTTAAGAAGATGTTAGTTTTACTTGCACTTAAAGACCAATGAATATTGTTTTTCAATATGTTTGGATCTGCAAGGTACCATGTGCACCTCCCTCTTCCTTAATCCAAAAGATATTAATTCACCAATTCATTCATCTCTTCAGAGGTTACTATATTTTTTGTGTGATCTGATTTTTCCATTTTCTCTGTTATTCAGTGAGATTTAGCTTAGGAAATCTTGTTTAAATATTTTATCTTTTTATTTCTGGTAAAATTGTGGACTTAGAGTACATGTTCCCATATGTTGTCTTTGGTTTTAATATTCCTTGATTCTGTGATTCTAGAATCTGGATATTTATTTGCATAACCTCACAGAATGCATGCATACACATACAACTTAATAAAACAGAACAATAATGAATCACTTTTTTCCTTACCTTAGTAATTTACCCTCTTTGCTGGCTTCATAATTTTCTACCTGCATAATTCCCATATAGCTGTAAGGGAGACTGACAGCTATGAAAAGTCAAAAAATGTCAAAGAAAAGTATTTTATTGAAGAGAAGAACAAGATGAAGAAAGAGCCCTTGCAAAAGCTTAATCCAAACAACCGATTCATAACATATATACTGCATATATCATAGACTCAAACAAATCACTGAAACAAACAAACAAAACATAAAGAAGGGCAGAGATAGTTGGAAACTAGAATTGCCTAGGAATCTCTCCACATCTGTGTCTTTCCTTTTCACTCTATGGGTGGCTTTATTTACCTTCAACCATTTTCTCCTTAAAGTACAGACATCTTCAGTCACTCATTTCATGCTTTGCAAACAGGAGGAGAGGGACACATGTATTCCAAAAACAATTTGAAAAGTTCAAGAGAAAGATTCCAATGTACTAGCTTTTTCTTTTTTGCCCTTTAGTAGCCAAGAAAGAGAGGTTCTACAAATTTCCCAGCTTTCTTTATGCCTCAGGTGCATGTGCTTCCGATACAGAGTCTGTAACAAACGGAAGGAGATAATTTGTCTTGGGAAGACCAACAAACAAACACACAAACAAGAACATTAGCTGCTGAATTTGAATGAAAGAATACTGAATGTTGATTTCTCCTCTGCCAATGTTCATAATTTCTCAAATTTAGAAAAGTGAGATTTAAAAAATGTGTGGGCCTAAGTTGTACTATTTAGAACACACTCTTGAATGTTCAATTTAGCAATAGCTCCTCTGGTATAGTCAGCCCTCTTCATTTGTGAAAACTTTTATAGCATAAGGTTAATGCTCCCTAATGCAGGCTATTGTCAATGTTAAGCATCACATGTATCTTTCTGAAATTTCTAGGATAGAAAACATCATATATTTCAATCATCCATAAGTCCCATAACATAAGTTTCATAAGAACATTGTCTTACGTAATCGTTAAAGTGAATACCCACATAACATATTGACTCTCAACATACCTAGTTAATGGAATTCTAAAATATTAATAATTTCATAACTCATACCTAAGCAACATGGCTTTCAAGTCTTTAATTCTTTCTTTTAACATTTTTATTTCCAAACTACTGAAAATGTAATTTTCAAAGTAATACTCATTTTCAGTGGTTTTACCTACTTACTATACTTTAAATACTTTTTTTTATTTTTGAATTTTTAAGGAAGGACATTTTCCTCAACTTATTGCCAAAATATTAATCATCATTTAAGACTTGGTTCAAATATTGTGTGTATATTCATCAAATCTAACTAAATAATGCTGACAACCTACAGCCTTATATTATTCCCTTATGCGGTATATTCTGTGCATTTACCTCATAGCATTG
Source organism: Homo sapiens (assembly GCF_000001405.40). Lineage (NCBI taxonomy): Eukaryota > Metazoa > Chordata > Mammalia > Primates > Hominidae > Homo > Homo sapiens. The sequence goes on from NC_000004.12 coordinate 135,142,157, forward strand.
TTTATTCCTTTTTTCTTGTATTATATATGTTGTATGGTTGCCTTATCTCTCATACAAGATGCATACAATATATATATACATATACATAGACACAGTGATTTATGTCTTTGTATCTAGAATAATGCCCTACCAAAAGTAGGAAATCAATAAATTAGGTAATATTTGTTTTGCATTTAGTTTTAAAGAATCACAATGATGAAATCACTTCTATTCATGGTAGATTTGAATGAATTTCAAAAGAGCAGGAATAATAGTCAAAAGCCTGGGTTCTAATACCAGACTCACCTTATTATGTCATCTTGAACACAATTCTAACATTTGGATGAATACATCAAATTCTAAATTTCTTTTATTTACAAAATGTTTGGTGGTACTGATTTTCCAGAGCCTGGAATTTCCACACTGTGTCTTTGAATGAATTAGTATTTCAACAGATAAAAAGCAAATCTACTTGGGAGGCAAAGGCAGGAGAATCGTTTGAACCCAAGAGGTGGAGTTTGCAGTGAGCCGAGATCGATCGATCCATTGCACTCAAGCCTGGAGGACAAGAGTAAGACTTCTAAAAAAAAAAAAAAAAAGCAAAAGCAAAAAGCAAATTATCCCTAGTTGGGCAGGATTGGAGGGCTCCAAGCTTTTCTACTTAGTCCCCATTCACTTCTTCAATGTGGTGACCCACGGAGCTCTGATCAGCTGTTTGAAAACTTCAGGATTAGATAGATGACTCATTTACGAGTTTTCAAAATATTTGCTACTTGTATGTGCACAGTCTCTATGGATAAATGTTGATAACAAGACAAAAGTCCATTTTCCGCTGCTTGCTCTCATGATGTGTGAAGCTCATCTAATCCTTTAATTAATAAATCATCATTATTATAGAAAATGATGTACAGAACAATATGTCTTAGCACCTAGTATTTAATACAACTTCATCAATAATGTGCCTTTAGTATATTAATGCTAATTTTCTCACATACTTCTTTCCGTTGCTGGCAACAAAACACTGAAAATTGTCTTTCTGCCCTTTAAAATAACAGAACTATTTATGAGATAAAACAGTGTAGCATACTTGAATTCATTATGATGTAAGTTTTCAAACAGGGTAAAAGTTGAAAATGTTGTATAGAAATTAATGCATGAAAATTAAGATGCTAATGATTTATGGCAGCTGCTCCTCTTACTGAATTGTTTTGGTCTTTATATCAATTTTTAAAAGTTCATTTAAGAAAGCATATATTATTCAAAACAAATTGTGTTATTGCCTGTATCATAAAATAATGTATTTATCTTGACTATAAATGCTCTTTTTTATATTTAAGCATAGAGTGTTAGACATATAAAGCTTTTGTGATTCTGTTCTGCTTCTGCAAATGGAATCGTTCTCTATAAGATACAATGTAATTACAAAATTTCACGTCAGACATTTTTTACAAGATTCACTCAGCTCAGATGAATCGTATTGTAAGAAAAATGTTGTTTTATGCAACTAGACTAGGGATTTTTAAAGCTCAGAACTACTGAAATTTTGGCCAGACAATTATTTAATGTGGGAGTCTATCCTGTGTAGTGTAGAATATTTAGCATCATGCTTGGCCTCTACCTACTAGGCGTGAGTAGCATCCATGTATCTCCCCAGCCTTTAAGAGTAAAATCATCCCTTACTATTACCACTAAACAAGACAATAAAAAAAATCACAAACCTTAGAAAAATTATCTATACTAGTATATGGCTGTTGCATTCATAAATTAAACTATTTAAGAGTTTATAATAATCTACATAATATTTCTATATGTTTATGTTCAAATTTGTGACCCTTTAAGAAATATGTGATTTTAGTGTAAAAATGGCAGTTTTTTACTGGCCCAGTGTTTTCTTTTCATTTCATCAAAATAATTCAACATGACATAACAAAATTAAGATGGGCTTTTTCTGGAAAAATGCTGTACAACCTGTTTCTTTACTTTTTCTTTAAAAAAAAATTAGAAATGGAATCTCATTATGTTGATCAGGCTGGAATTCAGTGGGTATTCACAGGTGTGATCATAATATATTATAGCCTCAAAGTCCTGCACCCAAGGGATCCCCCTGCCTCGGCTTCCTGAGTAGCTGGAACTACAGGCATGCACCCTTGTTTCTGGCTTAAAGATGTTCTTTTCTAACCTGCATACTCTTCACAAAATATAAATTTAGTTTGTAATTAAAATACTAGAGAAAGTTTATTTGATGCAAGTGTTTATAAAGTATAACTAGGTCACATTATGAAACACAGTGTTTCAAACATTTGCCTTTCAATAATACACTCTGTATTTTTAGTATTATTAACTCCAATCTCTCTCCTTGAGAAACTGGAAAAAAAATTAGTATGGTGAAAATAAGAGAAATGTTACAATCCTGGTCATTTCCAGACTTTCCTTTTATTTTCTAAGTACAGTATTACATTATTGTTGGCTATGTGGCATTTCACTCCCCATATTTTTCTTTTGCTAATGGTTGAATCCTTATATCAGAGACCCAACAATATGTAATGGTTACGATGAGCAAAAATACTTAGTTTCAATTTCTGGCTCTAGCATTTACTAGCTACACAATGGTCAGTAATTCATTTACCCTCTTAAGCTTCAGACTTCTCATTTGTGAAAAATGGGATAATATTAGTTTGATTTTAAATGTAATAAAAGCAAATATACTTAAGGTGCTTAGGACAGTGCTTGAACAAAGCAAGTGTTCTGTAATGTTAGCTTATTATCATAGTCATTCTTATTATACAAATGTTTATATAAACAAACAGAAGTTTTCAGTTTCACTTTAAGTCCAGTTGTTGACATATAAAGCCATCTATGGTTCTAGTTGCTGTATCATTTTATATTACAGGTGTTTGCAGTGGTAGCCCTTAAGCTGTGCCTTTTCTTCCAATGAACTTTGTGAAAAAGGCAGGTTGAAACTGTATATTTTGGACTAGAATATGCTCTCATATATTGCCTTTTTTTTCAGAAAGAAAACTTCTAGAATGGTAAAGACTTAAAGTCTTACCTGCTATGCAAAAGTCAGTGACTTGACTCTTTTATGTGTGTCTACAATTATTCCTCTATGGTTTTGTTGTTTTATTACCATAATGGGTACTCTGCAATAGTTTTATGTTTAATGCAACACTCAATTGTTTTAAAATAATTTGTGAAACAAACAAATGTATGTTGCAGAATAACTATTAGAAAATATGAAATTTAGAAAGATAAAGAATACAAATTCAGATTTGGATTAACTGGTATAATAAAAATAATATTTTTTAATCAATGGAATTCACCCCTGTACTGTAAGATAAACAGATTAGGTTCATTATTTCAGAGGAGAAAGATGAGACTTAAAAAACAAGGGGAAATTAAAAGAGAAAAGAAAAAGGTAAAGCTCTCTCTATATAAGCATAAAATTATTCTATGGCCAGAAATACCTAGTTACTTTAGTAAATTAAGTGAAAAGAGAGGTTAAAATAAAACAGTGGAGGATGCACATTGTCGCCACGCTATCACACACCCCCTTAAATCCAATTTACTCTATAAGTTGTACTAAAGCTTTTCTGTTCATTTAGAATGTATTTGTTATTGACTCTATGCACAAATGTTGACGAAAGTTAAGTACCATATTTTATCTCTTTGCCAGGATAATCACTTGTTGATAGGATTTCCAAGTATTTAGAATATTCATATATTTATATCTTTATTTCTATTTTTGTGAGCTCATTTATTAATTCATATATTCAATAAATATTCATGGGGCTCCTCTTATATGCTTGGAGTTGTGCTGGAGTTGATGGTGAACAGTATAAAAACATAAAAATATCTGGCTTTAATTTTCATATTCTATTTAATAAAATAAATCAATAAAATATATAGTAAATAAAATGATAAGTGCTGTGGAGAAAGATAGATTAGTGGCAAGAAATAGAGAACATTTGTGGAGGTTTACAAATGAAATGGGGAGGTCAGTAAGGATCTAATGTATAAGGTGAAATAAGGTCGAAGGATATAAAAGCAAGAACATCCAAGGCAGAGAGACATGCATAAGCAAAGGTCCTGAGGAAGAATTGTACAAGGAGGCCAGAGTGCTGGAACACACTGAATGAAGAGAAGAACAGTAGATAAAAGATCAGAATGGTAACAGCATGTTATGGTATAGGACAATGTTGTTCATTTTAATGTCTCTGAGATTTATTCTGGGTGAGAAGAGAAGCCACTAAGAGATTTAGATCAATGGAGTGGCCATGATCTGAGATAATTTTAACATATAGATTCAAAGGCAGAAGACGGAGATAATTTAAATGGCAACAATTTGCAACAATTTAGTGTTGATGTGATTGTAGCAATAAAGGTAGTGAGGAAGAGTCAGATTCTGGATATTTTGCAATTATATTCCACTATGTCCAAAATGATGTCCTGACCAATGGATGTGGTGGCAGTTGGGGGAGGCATTATTTTGGGAGAAAGAGGCAACTTTGATATGGAAGTGTCTTTTGGGTGCTTGATGGTGAAGAAAAAGGCATAAGGTAATATAAAAGAAAATAAAATTTAGAGATATCTTATAGACAGGAAAAGTAATAATAAAACCAGCTATATATAAGACTCAATCAACTCATCCAGTTTAATTCTAACAAAAATTTTAACAGAGATTTATGAGAAACTTAACAAGTTAATTTTACAATTTATATGAAAGAACAAATAACCAGCAAAGATATAGTTAGACAGGTATGGGTAGACAGAAAGCAAAATACATTTTATGATATCAAGACAGTAAAAAATTGCAAATATCAATATAATGTGCTATTGCCAGAAGAATAGGTAAATATTCCAATAGATGGGTTGTTATGCACAGAGGAAAAAATATTAAATTAGATTCCCACCTCATACCAGGTGCAAAACTCAATTAAAACTCAAATAAGAACAACTTATTAGGCAAGTAGCTCTTTACTTAGGTTGGGAAATGATTTTTAAATTAAGATATAAAAAATATGAAAATATAAAATCATAAAGGAAATTATTGATTAATTTTACAACATTCAGATTAACAGTATAGGTTCAGCAAGAAAACACAATAAAGTTATAAGACAAGTCACAAAATGGAGAAGATATTTGAGATAAAAATAGCTTACAGAGGATTAATATTCAAAATGTATAAAGAAGCAAAAATCAATGAAAAAAACCCCACCACTCAATAGACTTATAGGCAAGAGAAATGAACAGGCATTTTAGAGACATGAGAGCATGAAACCCAATAGATAGGAAGAGATATTTGATCTCATTATTAATCTGGGAAGTAAAAATAAGAACCATAATGAAATACATGTTTACTGCAACTGTATTCTAAATGTTGTCTGGGATATGTAGGAATGAAAATACTTATACACTTCAGTGGAATGTAATTTGTGTAATCATGTTGGAGTCTAGTAAAAATGAAAATACATATTATGTAAATATCCCATATTTTATTTTTAAGTAATATTATTTTATAGATTTGTCAGTAAATACATATGATTTTGCAATAGCAAAACAATAACAAAATGAAACAAAGCAAAATGACCTGTAAATAATCAAATTTCCACCAAGGCCACCGAATCAATACATAAATTATATGATTTGATAAGATTGATTACTAAGCATATAGTATATGAAATAATAATCAGTGCTGTAGAGAAAGATTTGTGGCAGGAAATAGAGAATATTTGTGGAGGTTTTACAAATGAAACTGGGAGGTTAGTAAAGACCTCATGGGTAAGGTGGAGATAGGTAAGAATGAAGTAGAGCAGGGTTTGGCAAACTTTTCTAATAAAGTGTCAGATAGTATATATTTTAGTCTTTGAGCATCACACATGTTCTCTTTCATATATACTTATTTATTTTTTTAAATTCTTTTCTTTTTTTCTTATACTTTAAGTTCTAGGGTACATGTGCACAATGTGCAGTTTTGTTACATATGTGTACATGTGCCATGTTGGTGTGCTACACCCATTAACTCGTCATTTACATTAGGTATATCTCCTAATGCTATCCCTCCCCCCTCTCCCCACCCCGTGAAATCTTGCAGAGGAGATTACAGTTCTAAATATGGAATAGACTTGCCATGAATATAAAATAATCAGAAAAGTAAACATTTTTACTAGAAAAAAATTACATTAATAATTAGAATTACTATAGACAACATTTCATCTAGAAAACAAATGTTCCCCACCCTGTGTCCAAGTGTTCTCAATGTTCAATTCCCACTTATGAATGAGAACATGCAGTATTTGGTTTTCTGTCCTCCTTGCAATAGTTTGCTCGGAACGATGGTTTCCAGCTTTCATCTGTGTCCCTACAAAGGACATGAACTCATCCTTTTTTATGGCTGCATAGTATTCCATGGTGTATATGTGCCACATTTTCTTAATCCAGTCTATCATTGATGGACATTGGAGTTGGTACCAAGTCTTTGCTATTGTGAATAGTGCCACAATAAACATATGTGTGCATGTGTCTTTGTAGCAGCATAATTTATAATCCTTTGGGTATATACCCAGTAATGGGATGGCTGGGTCAAATGGTATTTCTAGTTCTAGGTCCTTGAGGAATCGCCACACTGTCTTCCACAGTGGTTGAACTAGTTTACAGTCCCACCAACAGTGTAAAAGTGTTCCTATTTCTCCACATCCTCTCTGGCACCTGTTGTTTCCTGACTTTTTTAAAAAACAAAACAAAACTTTAAGATTTAAAACATGAGCTCAAAGGTTGTAAAACAAAAGGGGTTGCTGATCTGATTTGGTCCATTGGCCATAGTTTGCTAACTGCTGAACTAGGTATACAAATGTAAACATTATGAATGTCACAAATCTACATCTTGGAGAAGACAAAAAGCAGGCAAATGATGGCAGAATAAATACTGTATTCTATTTATAATTCAAAAATGTGTAAACCAAACCATATGTAGGGTTTCATACATATAGATTATAACTATTAAGAAGTCACATGAATGACAAAAATAAAATTTAAAGCACAGCTTACCTCTGAAGAGAAGAAAGTAATTACACTTAGAAGTATCACCCAGAAGATGCCAATGGCATTGGATACTTTTTTTTCAAGAGTATATTTTCAGTGTGTGTGTGTATATATATATATATATATATATATATATATATATATGCACATTTTATTTATACATTTACATCATATGCAGGTATTTTATAAATACTTTTGTATGTATTTTATATGCTGCTAACCTTTCTGCTCAACATACTTTCATTTTAATGGAAATTAGTGTGTTTCAACTAATTGAAATACATTCAAATTTCTGAATTCAAGAAACTACACAACTTCAGAGGAAACATTTAACTACCATCTCCAAGTAACTTCATTCAGAATTGTCATCAGATAACCAAGGATTGCGAGATATTTGAGGATAATAGCAGAAAAGAGGAAAGCTAATACATAAAAAAGAACACCTGAAAATTGTAGAAACATTATTATTACAATCAGAGAATTTGCAGAGGAGATTTCAGTTCTAAATATGGAACAGACTTGCTATGAATATAAAATAATCAGAAAAGTAAACATTTTTTGGAAAAATATAACGTTAATAATTAGAATTCTATAGACAACGTTTCGTCTAGAAGATAAAATTTATTGTTTTGAATTATAGAGAAGAAAAATTAGCGAGACATAAATTATTTGCAAAACATTGGGTTCTAGTTTTAGGAGGTTTTGATTCTTAATTATAGCTGTCTTAGAAGGGGAGGAAAAAGACAATGTGGGAGACGAAATTATCAAAGACAATTGAGAATAATATTAACATCCAATTCATATACATTTGGTCATGGTAACCTGATTTTTCTCTAAAGAATCTACTGTGAGTCTTAGTAAGTATGACATGCTCTCCCACTCTAGGTTAGGGTTAGGAATGTGAATCAAGGAGAGCTATTTACATGTTGCTTTTTTGTTTGTTTTTTTTTTGGGGGGGGTTGTTGTTTTTTCTGTTTTTAAGTATTTAAGTTTTTAAGCCATCTTTTTATTCTGTGAGTTGAAACTATCCCCCAGTACTAGTTTGTTTTTGTTTTTCTTTGCATAAATGAACTATTTAACTTTATTTATAAGGATTTTTAGAAATTTTTTTCAAAAAATAATTATTTGAAATGGAGCAATATGTATTCTAATAAAGACCAAAAGCCATCATCTTTCTGGGAACACAGGTTTTCACACTATTCTCTCTGAGTATGTTTTCAGATTAGTTTCTGTTATTGCAAAGAAATGGTAACCCAGGGGATTTAATTTTTTTATTAATGTAAAATGTGGCTCAGTTACCTAGATTCATTCTGATTCTCCTACAGTCTCCCTAGCTAATGCTTCTCAGCCTGGTTTTTATCATCTTTCTGGTCTCGTAGTTTTGTTATATTCTGAGAAGTCCTAGCTCTCTTTTTATTTATTTATATTTTTTTTGAGATGGAGTCTCGTTCTGTCGCCCAGGCTGGAGTGCAGTGGTGCGATCTCGGCTCACTGCCAGCTCCGCCTCCCCGGTTCACGCCATTCTCTTGCCTCAGCCTCCGGAGTAGCTGGGACTACAGGCGCCCACCACCACACCAGGGTAATTTTTTTTGTATTTTTCAGTAGAGACGGGGTTTCACTGTGTTAGCCAGGATGGTCTCAATCTCCTGACCTCGTAATCCACCCGCCTCGGCCTCCCAAAATACTGGTATTACAGGCGTGAGCCACTGCTTCTGGACCCTTGGCTCTCTTTTCTTTTGTAGTTCCACTAACATTCCAAGTCATCTCATGGGGTCATACATTTTAAATGGCATCTATACATTGATGAAAACTTATTTGCATCACCAGCTTGAACCTCTCTCCTGGACTTTCGATGCAATTCCAGCTGCTGACTTAACACTCTGCTTTTATAATATGTAGGAGGCACCCCATGTGAACATGTTCAAAACCTAAGGGAGGATTCCTCCTCTTTCAAACCTGAAATCTGACTTCTTTTTCTTGGTTACTCAGCCCAAAAGTCTTGAAGTCATTCTTGACTTCATTCTTTCCCCTATGACCCCACATCTAATGCACACTGAATCCTGCAAACACTGCCACATTTCATCTTTTACACAACCCAAGTCACCATCATGTCCTCAATAGAATTTTATAAGCACTAACTGCATTTCCTGCTTCTGTTCTTGACATACCAATCTTCAGTCTACTTACAATATAGCAGACAGTGATACTTAAAAAACATAACAAGATACTGTCGCTTAATGGTTTAAAACTGTCCATGGCCTTAACATTGTTTCACAGTTAAAACCATTGTCTTTTCAATGGCAATCAAACCTGACAGGATTTGTGCACCACTACCTGTCTTTCACCCCCTACCTAACCGTCCTTGCTCACTCTGCTCCAGATGCACTGACTCATTACTCTTTTCACTGCTTTTGGTCTTAAACTTTGAGTCTGCTTTTATGTTCTCTTAATGTTCTCACTGTGCTTGCCTTCATGAAGAGCCCTCTCCTTGTTTAGCTCTCTCTTCAAATATCCTGTTTTTGGTGATCATTAGAAATAAAGTAAAAACTCCCACCACCTGTTCCAGGCAGTAGGAAAACCCTTTACCTCCAAAGCTTTTGTGACCATTTACATAATGTATAAAATTGCATGCTTTTTTATGTCTATTTCTTCATTCTAGATTGTTAAGGTCTAAGTTAGGATTAATTTTCCTCTGTTCTGTTTGTTACTGCAGCCGAAACACCTAAAAGAACCTCTTTATTGCCGAATGAATGATGAAGAATGTGTAGATTGATAAGCCAATCTATCAGTTATTTATCTTCATTTTAGACTATCATAAATAATAAAGTAAAAATGTAGAATGTTGTAACTTTTTTAAAAAGAACTGGAAATTATGTCACTATAGCAATCAAATGGACATTCTATTTGTCAAATGTTTTCAAGCATTTATAAATTATCCAGAGATGTTAAGGTTATACATGTAAAATATAATAAAGTGTTATGGGCTGGACATGGGGGCTTACACCTGTAATTCCAGTGCTTTCAGAGGCCCAGGCAGAAGGATCATGTGAGGCAAGGAGCTTGAGACCAGCCTGGGCAACGTAAGAAGATTCCATCTCTAAAAATTTAAAAACTTAGCCAGCTTCAACTGAACCCATCATCCAAATAGTGAACATATTACCAAATAGATAGTTTTTCAACACTTACCCCCACCATTCCTTCCCTGTTTTGGAGTCCCCAGTGTCTATTTTTCCCATCTTTATGTCCACATGTATTCAGTGTTAGCTCCCACTTATAAGCGAGACCATGTGGTATTTGGTTTTCTGTTTCTGCGTTAATTCACTTAGAATAATGGCCACCAGCTGCATCTGTGTTGCTGCAGAGGACATGACTTCCTTCTTTTTATGGCTCTGCCGTATTCCATGATGTCTTTCTACCACATTGCCTTTATCCAATCCACCACTGATAGGCACCTGGGTTGATTCCATGTCTTTCCTATTGAGAATAGTGCTGTGATAAAAATGCAAATGCTGGTGTCTTTTTGGTAAAAAGATTTATTCTCCTTTGGGTAAATACCCAGTAGTAGAATTGCTGCACATGTACCCCCCTGAATCTAAATTAAATATATACATATATATATATATATATGTGTGTGTGTGTATATATATGTGTGTGTGTGTGTATATATATGTGTGTGTGTATATATATGTGTATATATGTGTATATATGTATATATATGTGTATATATATGTGTATATATATATGTGTGTGTGTGTATATATATATGTGTGTGTGTGTATATATATATATATATATATATATGTGTATATATATATATATAACCCAGGTGGCTGAGGTGGAAGGATCACTGGAGCCTAGGATTTCGAGGCTGTCATGAGCAATGATCATGCCTTTGCACAGCACAGTGAGACCCTGACTCAAAAAGTGTTAGGAAAATTTTCTGTGAATGGAAATACATAGATATTCAATACAATCTCATAACAAAGTGTATTGAGGATTATGTTTTTCACCTAAGTTATAGAACCTTGATCAATACTATTTTATTGCTACAGATTGTCAGATTGAAAAGTAATTGATATTTTCATTTCAATACTGACTTCATGAGAGATTCCAATCATTGTATTTAATCTAGTCATTCATTAGGTTTACCATGAACAAAGGCAGTTAATTATTTTAACAAAAAGAAGTATATAAATGATAATATTATATATTCATGGGAGATTTTGGATTTTTCTTAGAAAGATCATAAATAAATTTGAAGGAGAATTTTTAGGGGTATAAGATGGATGAACATATGTTCTAGCAAAAAAAGCCATGCTTGCCATAACTCTCTACATGAGGACAGCTCTTGACACTCCCTAGTCAATGCCAATTCCAAAACATTTTTTTAGCTATTTCTATTGTCACCAAGAGATCCTTAAATAAGTAGCTGCAGTTGGAAATTAAGATAAAAAATGCACATAGTTTTGTGTCTTCTATCATCCCCACAAAGTGTTGCCTAGAATTCAACCAACCATCTGTCATCTCATACAAGTCCCATAGCCAATATAAGAAGACAGAGATTCAGGCTATCTTTTAAGTGATTTGTAAAGAAGCACATTTAATTGCTGAATATTATTATCCCAGTAATTAAAAAGTGGCATGGAGGATAATGACACCGAATCCAATAAGTTGATTTAAATCCTTTCTCTAATCACTATTATAAGATAAGTACATTTATTTTAACTCTTTCATAAAAATAGATATTAATATAGTTTTTGCCCATTATTTTATTAGTTAGGTATATCACATTTGTTGATTTACATGTGTTGTATCATTCTTGCATCTCTTCAGTAAATCTCACTTGATAATGATGAATGATTTCTTTTAATGGGCTACTGAATTTGGTTTTTTAGTGTTTTGTTGAGAATGTTTGCATCTGTGTTCCTCAGGGATATTGACCTGTAGTCTTCTTTGCCTGTAGTGTCCTTTTCTGGATTTGGTATCAGGAGGATGCTAGTCTTGTACAACAAGTTTGAAAGTATTCCCTCCTTTTCAAATTTTTTGGAAGAGTATGAGAAGGATTTTTATTCATTTTTTAATGTTTGGTAAAATTTAGCAGTGTAGCCGTCAATTCCTGGGCATTTCTTTGATGGGAGACGTTTTACTACTAATTCAATCTCTTTATTTGTTATTTGTCTCTTCAGATGCTCTGTTTCTTCCTGATTTAGTCTTGGTAGGTTGCATGCTTCTAGGAATTCATCCCTTCCTTCTAGGTGAACTAATTGGTTAGTATATAGTTATTCATACTATTCTTTTATGATCTTTGCATTTCTGTGGCACCAGTCATAATGTCTTGTCTTTCGTTTCTGATTTTGAGTCTTCACTTTTCCTTTCTTTGTAAGTCTAACTAAAGTTTTGTTGATTTTATCTTTTAAATAAACAACTTTTAGTTTTGTTGATTCTTTTATTGTTTTCCTATTTTCTATTTATTTTTCCTCTCATCTTTCATCTCAATAGATGCAGAAAAATAATTCGACAAAATCAACATCTGTTCATAGTAAAATCTCTCAAAAAATAGGTACAGAAGGAATCTATTTCAACATAGTAAAGGTCGTATATGACAAGCTCATAGCTTACCTCAAATGCAAGGTAAAAATTAGACATCTTTTCTTCTAAGATAAACAACAAGACAAAGATGCCCACTCCCACCACTTTCATTCAACATATTATTGGAGTCTTGGCAAGAGCAATTTGGCAAAAGATAAAAATAAAAAATTCATCCATACAGGAAAAGGAGAAGTGAAATTATCTCTATTTGGTGTTTGATAAATTATCATCTCTGGTATGACCGCTTATACAGAAAACCCTAAAGACTGCATCAGAATACTGTTAGAACTGAGAAATTCAATGAAGTGGCAGGTTTGAAAATCAACATTAAAAAATGAGTACCATTTCTATACACTAAGAACAAACTATCCCCCCCCACAAAAAATTAAGAAAACAATCTTATTTATAGTGGCATCAAAAAATACTTAGGAGTAAATTTAACTAAGGAGATCAAAGATCTGTGCACTGAAAGCTATAAAACTTTCAGTTACTTTCAGTAACTTTTAAGTTACAATGAATGTAACTGAAGGAGAAACAAGTAAAGAATATTCCATGTATATGGATTGAAATAATTAATATTGTTAACAAATCCATACTACCCAAGGAAGTCTACAGATCCAATGCAATTTCCATAAAACTCCAATGTTCTTTTTCAAAAAATAGAACAATTTTATAACTTGTATAAAACCTGAAAAGACCTCCAAATAGCCAGAACAATCTTGAGCAAAAAGAACAAAGCTGGAGGCATCATACTCCTGATTTTAAAATATATCATAAAGCTATTATAATCAAAACAGCATGATACTGGAATTAGAAAACACATTTACCAATGGAACCGGATAGAAAGTCCAGAAATAAATCCATGTATTTAAGGTCAATTGAATTTTGGAAAAGCTGCCATAATGGGGAAGTTACAGTCTCTTCAATAAATGGTGTTTGGATAACCAAATATCCTCTTGCAGAAGAATAAAATTGGACCCTCATCTCAAACCATATGCAAAAATAAACTAAAAATGGATAAGGACTTTAAGGTAAGCCCTGAAATTGTAAAACTACTAGAAGAAAACATAAGGGAAAATCTCTGCAATATTGGTCTGGACAGTGATTTATTTATTGGAAATAATTTCAAAGCCACAGGAATCAAAAGCAAAAATAGATAAATTGAATTAAGTCAAATTAAAAGGCTTCTATACAGCAAAGGAAACAATTAAGAGAGTGAAGGGACAACCCACAAATTGGGAGAAAATATTTGCAAGCCACACATCTGATAATGGACTAGTAGCTGAAATACATAAGGAAATCATACAATTCTACAACAAGAAAACAAATAATTCAATTTAAAAGTTGAGCAAAGGACCAGAAAAGCCATTTCTCAGATTAAAAACTACAAATGGCCAACAGATATATAAAAAATGCTCAACATCTTTAATCAGCAGGGAAATGCAAATTAAAACCACAATAAATATCACTTCATACCTGTTAGAATGGCTATTATCAAAAAGATGAATGATAGTTAAGTGTTGGTGAGGATGTAGAGGAAAGATAACCTCTGTACACTGTTAGTGGGAAAGTAAACTAGTACAACAATTTTTGGGAAATGGTATAGAGGTTCTGCAAAAATCTAAAAATAGAATTATTGTTTAATCTACCAATCCCAGTGTTTTTTTTTTTTTTTTTTAGATGGGGGTCTTGCTCTGCCACTAAGGCTATAGTGCAGTGGTGTGCTCAAAGCAGCCTTATATTCCTGGGCTGAAGTAGTCTTCCCACCTCAGTCTCCTGAGTAGCTGAAACTACAGGCACGTATCACCACACCAGGCCCCCCTTCTAAGCATATGCACAAAGGAATTGAAACCCGTATGTTCAAGAGATATCTTCACCTACGTGTTTATTTCAATATTATTCACAATTGTGAAGATGGAAGAAACATAAATGTTCATAAACAGAAGAATAGATAAAGAAAATGTGGTATGTGTACGTGCACAGTGGAATATTCTACAGCCTTTAAAAAGAAGAAAAGTCTTTTTTTCACAATAATATGAATGAAGCTAAAGGGCATTATGCAAAGTGAAATAAGCCAAGCACAGAAAGCAAATACTGTATGAGCTCACTTACATGTACAGTGTAAAACGATTGATCTCATAGAAACAGAGAGTAGAAGGGTGGTTATGGGAGGTAAGAGGTAGACAGGGGTAGGTCCAGGCAAAGGAATGATATTGATCAAGGAGTAAAATCTTTTAGTTAGATTGGAACAATAAGTTTTAGTGATCTATTGCACTACATAGTGACCACAATTAATGATAATGCATTGTATATTTCAAAATTGCTAAAAGAATAGATTTTTAATGTTCTCATCACAAAAAAGTAAGTGCAGTAATAGATATATTAATCAGCTTGACTCTTTCTATAATATACAAATGGATCAAAACATAACATTGTACCCTGTAAATATACATAAGTATGGTTTTTCAATTACAAACAAATACATAATTTTTAAAAAGTAACAAAGGAATATTTATAACAATGTTAATAATATAGGTAAAATAATATAAATATAAGTGCTAATATAACACATTTAAATGTCACACATTCTTAACACAACTCCTTGTAGCAGTGACTTTCATAATCATAACATTTCTTAAATCAGATAACTGATTATATTCATACTTTGCAAGAAGACAAATGAAACCCTAAGAGATATCTCTTCACATATAAAAAAAATAAAAAATAAAAAAATAAAAAAATAAAAAGTTAAATGAAAACTTCAGATCATTGCTGGGATAGTTCTGATATGTTTTTAAATCTACATGATTTTTATTGTGGATCCTTTTATTATAATAAACTGCTAACTGAGGAGCACTTAATGTGAATTTAATTCATTTATTTTATGTGAAACTCACATAGTTTAAATAAACATATAAATCTTATCTTTCTATACACTGAGATCAGAGATATTTTGATAATCTAGCTAGTTCTATATAAATTCAAGATTACAAAAATGCCACCAAGTAGAGAAGCAAAAAACTTCTTTCATCTATGTTTTCTTCAACTATTCATGAGTTTCTTTAAGTTTATTCCGGAGGAAAGATTCATAATTTTACTTCAGGACACAAAGACTTAGTCAGTATATTATACTTCTAGTTCAAAGCATGTAAGAAAACCAAACCAGCAAAGCAAATTTATTTGATGTTGCTTTGTGTTAGAATCTAGGGAAAATAAATACTTTGATCAATTTTCTGCCTTGGAAATGTCCTCTAGTAGAAATGCTCCAAAGTAGTCTTTGATACAGCTCGCATAGCATACGTGTCAATCTTCAATTGAATTTGGTGCACAGGTTGTAGGAAAGATCAAGTTATCCAATATGTATATACTTTATTAATTTCTATCATGATTAAATAAGAAAAGTTCCTTCAACTTCTTAGTTTCTTGACCCCAAATTAGTAATAATTATAATGTATTTACACAGATTGCAGAAAAGCGATACTAGGTGAACATGAACATAAACATTTAAAAATGAAAACACGGCTTCAACAAGTGAAAAAAGCCGGATGTAAAATGCCTTTAGTATATCTAGTACATTTAGGAATAAACATTTATGTCAAATCAAAGTATAAAGTAATTATCTAAAAGCTTCTTTAGAACTGAGACAGAATACCTATTTTATAATTACTTAGGAACAATTAGGTGGTTTCAAATGCAAACTATTTTAGGCCAGCACATATGTAACAGTTTATTTCTACATTTAACTATTAAGATAATTGTTTAAAGGAGGGAAACGTGCTATTTCATAACTTAGAAGAATAAACATTATTATATGTTAAAGATATAATTTATTATATGTCCATTCTATTCCAGGTAAATATTTTTCAATAATTTTCAGAAAAGTTGAGAAGTACATATTATTATTATTATAATTTCACAAATGAGAAAAAAATGATTTTCAGAGACTCGAGAAGATAGGGATAGTCACAAAGTTGGAAAGTGATCTTACTGAAATTTGAACCTTGATCTGTCTAGCACAAACAGTATCACATAAAAATATAACACATTACAACACATGGGCACTCTCCCTGCACTGCCCCCCATACAAAACAAATACATTTACTGATATAAAAAGTTTGATGATGTTTGAAGGTAACATCAGCAATTGCATTTTATTTAAACTATAAGTTTTGTCTGATAAAATTATCTAAAGTCATCATGTCCAATTGCAGAGACATTTCTACAATGGTAAGTGTAGGAATAAGGAACTCCTTTTGTTGGATTTTTGTTATAGAAACTCACAACAATGTGAGTAACCAAACTAGTTCTCTGTATTTGCTATGTAAACATTGATGGAATTTTTGTCTATTTTTTAAAATTTGTTCTTTGGAATATTATCTAGCATCCAGATAATTATATATTTTTTAAAAATAGGAAAATGTTTTATACACAATGTACAACTAATTTTCACAGGCCAAAGTGATGGTTTCAAGCAATCTACTCTGACTGTACAGGGAAAAAACCGATTCTTTACTGTTTGCATAAGATTGTGCTTTTAGTATAGACATAAAATGCAATCTTTTAAACTTTCTGATATTACTAAAATGCAAGTCAATTTTTTCTATGTCTTCTTAAAACATTTTTATATTGTATACAAAATACAATTCAGTTATTTAGCATATTTGAAAATATAATTTGTATTTGAAAGGTGAATAACATAAACATCTTTGTTTTGGGACATGTTCAAAAATAAAACAAAGAGTAACATATTTAGTTTACATCCATCCAGTGCAATTTTACTTCACTGTCTTTACTATTGTCTATTAAGTTGGCTACTCAAGGAATTTCTATAATATAGCTAATGAAAGACTCAAAATACAGAAAAGATGCCAGGCATATTTGCCAGGTATATTTGCCTGAAATTTCCCATAATGTCAACTGCATAATACGCTACTGAATAATTATGATATATTTATCAATAGAGTTTTCAAAAATTGGTACATTAGTTTATATTTATATAATTTCTCTTAAGATTGAGAAAAGCATCAGAAGTATGTATACTCTATAAAAATCAACTAAATTAACAAGCTATTTGAATAAACCTGAGAGATCTTTGGAAACCTATTGCTTGCATGCTTAAAGTCACTATTTATCAAAAGAAATGAATGAACAACACTCCAGAAAGTTTTGCCAGCTCTTTAAGTTTAAAATATACATTTATTTATCCAATGTTTGATTGTGTGGATCTAAAAAATATTAAATTAATATTGTCCAAAAACATATATTACCCTTTTATTCATTTTAGCTCTTCTGTCCTATAATGAAGTAGAGTAAGAAGTGAATAAAAGCAGTTGCAACAAAACATAGTTGGTTACTCATAATTTTAAATAAATAGTAGAATTTCCTAATGGAAAACATCCGAAAAATTTTGATGAAAAGAAAATTAGAAGAACCAGTGTTACCTGATTCAGGGCTGCAAATAAATCTGAAAATAGGGAGAATCAAAAAAGGTAAGACTTTTTATTGATATTTTTATTTTTATTATAATTAGTATATTATTAATAATAAAGTTTACTTTAGGACTTAATTCAATTCCAACATACATATTTGTCTTATTTTATTGACTTTAAAAAATATTAGATTACTCTGACTCTAGGTGGGAAATGTACGACATTTAACAGAGGATTACTGAATATATACAAACCAGTGAATTCTATTTGCTGGTCTTAAATAAAATAACTTTAAAAGATCATACCACTTAAATAGAAGGGCATTGTCTGCACAAATCCTTTGAGTTAACTTTTACAATTATTTAAAAATCATCATGTGTACCATTCAAGTAAAGTAATAATTTCAATAAAGTGCAATTTTTATATTTTCATCAGGATAAAACTTTATCCAGTAAATATTAAAGTTTGGAGTTCAGCTCTAATTTTTAACTCATTGTCTAGCTCTTTAGGCACAAAGTAAATTTAACTTTTCTAGATCTCAATTTACAAATACTTAAAACCAAAAATCTAAGTTAAAATTTTCAGTTTGAAAATATTTTCAAAACTGCTATAACTTCCTCAAATGCCTTCTTGTTTCATCTACGACCCTCTAATATCTTTCTCTCCTGAACTATATACTTCTTTTTATAAAGCAAATTTTATGAAAGCAAGATAAACTTTGAGGTTCTATCATTTGTAGCCATTTTCATGCATGTGCATGTAAACCTCTGCATTTATATGTGATCACTTATAGTATTTACACCAATCCTGGTTTTAATTATCTTATGAGATGTACAGCTTCAGGCCTAAACCTTATGTGTGATCCTTCAGGCCCAACCAGTGGCTTTGCCTGCTACATCTCGTGGAAACAGCAGCCAAACCCATATTGGATGTCATACACAGTTAATGCACTGCAGTTTTCTGGAGGGAATTTCAGTCAAGGATTCAGGCCCACTGTACTAGCTTGCTTATACACATTGTTGTGTCCAAGCCAAGGTATCTCCATGCAGAGCCCTCCTTTTCAGGGGCATTGGCTGAGGCACTTTTCTACCCCTAACCCTTCCCCCAGTACTTCCTCTTGTCCTCCAGGTCCATAAAAAAGCAAAAACTTTTGTTTAGGACATCACAGCAATAGGACAGTTCTATCTATCTGTGCTGCATGTCATGTGACCGTCACTCAGTGCCAAATACAGAGAAAAATGGAACCCTGGGGAACTGGCATCTTTTATTTTTGTCTCTTACCTTCACTGCCACAGTAAGGGAATAGATGCTTGATTGTTATTTCAGTTTGGTTCATTGTCCTAATTGACCAGCTTGGCAATTGCAAGCTCAGCACGTGTGTGTGTGTGTGCATGTGTGGTGTGTGTGTGCGTGTGTGTGGTGTATGTTTATAAGCAATTGCATTTCACTCCTAAGCAACTTTATTAAAAAGACATTATTATTATTGTCATTTTATATAGGAAGAAATCACATCAGAGAGAGAATGCTTTGCTCAGATTCACATATTGATTAACTGGAGAAGTTAAATTTTCATTTAATATCTTTTTCCTGACAGGCTTTTTTCTCATGATAGTACTTACAGAAATTATTTACCATTTTGTTTAACATCTGTTGATGCTACTAATGTAAATTTTCCATGAGCCTTTTAATTCCTAGCCCTACTCCTTACAGGCAATTCTGATTAGTACTAACTTTAAAGTTATCTATTAATCCTATCCTTCTTTTCTAGGCTATCTGTATATATGCATATATACATGCATTCATACATAGTTACGCACTTAAAATGTTGTTGCAATTTGTTTCTTTTTATGTAAAAAAATATTTTAACATATTTCATATCTACATTTATCTATTATGTACACGTCTATTCAAAGCTTCTTAATGAATTCATAGCAATCTTTTGCATAAGTATGTCATATTATACTAAACCCTCTATTTTTATGCATATGTAAGTTTACTTTGATTTTGTTTTACCTGCAAGATTTAGCTTTGTAAAAGAAACTACATTAATAATATTTCATCACATATATGTAATTATTATTATGAGTTGAGTTATAACTTCCCAATATGCATATGTTGAAGTCCTAACTCCCAGTACCTCAGAATGTGGCCTTATTTAGAGATAGGGTCATTATAGAGTAATCAAGTTAAAATGAGGTTATTAAAGTGGGACCTAAAGCAATATGATTGGTACTCTTATAAGATGGGGACATTTGAACACAGAGACAGGCATGGCGGGAAGGTAATCAAGAATGTGATGAGATGTAGGTAGAAGCCAGCCAGCTCCAAGCTAAGCAGAGAGGCCTAGAACAGATTATTCCCTCACAGTGCTCAGAAAAAAACAACCCTGGAAGCACCTCAATCCCCAGAACTTTGAGCCAATAAATTTGTATTGTTTAAGCCATCTTGCCTATGGTATTTTGTTATGACAGCCCCAGAAAACTAATGCATATATTCTTTCAAGTAATTTTGTTGAGTGCCATCATGAATTTCTTACACATTTTTGTTATATAATGCCAAGTTGTTCTCTGAAAAGTTTATGTCAATTTATATTGTATATAATATTTTTTATATTGGAAAATTATTTAAGTAGTAACCCTCTCATAATTTCTACATGGGAAAAATGCTAAACATTTCTTTGGCCAGGGGAAAACTAGTGAATATGGGTGGCAATATGCTTCTGGAATATTTTTCCTAATGTTAAATTTGTGACTTGTAAAGGGACACAGTTTAAGTGACTGTTTAAACAGTACGGTTTAAAGTAGGAATGAAGGGATTTGAATAAGTATACAGAATTTGGTTATTTTAATGCAATCTGATGTCTAGATTATGGTATAAATTTTAAAAGTTTTCCTGGATGCTAACTCAGAATATAACCAAAGTCTGGCATAAAATGGGCATAAGGATATTGGATGGATGGATGGAAGATTAGCTGGATGGATTACTTTTGTATTTAAAGACACTATGAAAACCAACTGAGTTCTTATAGCTCACAGAGACATAAATTTGATTCAGAGACATCTAAACATTCTGACCTTAAAACTGCAGGAAAGAAAAGAGCAAACTTGATTTTTTTCATGGATTTAAAAAGGTTTTAGATTCAGTCTTGACAGGTGCGAAATTTTCTCCCATTGATAAAGGATTCTGAGATCAATGAACTCACATGTTGGAGAGGACTGTAAAGCTTTTGAGTAGAAATAAAGTCATTTTTTTTTTCAGATTTCCATAGTATTTTTAACTGGATCATGTCCAATGTTCTGTGACTTTCTTTAAAGTCAAACTTAGGACATCTTCGAGTTATTCAGTTTCTGCCCTTTTGGTATAGCTTATTTTAAAGAGGAATAAATGAAGCTGGAAATGATTTATGCCCATGAGCATGTCATTCTTTCTCTGTAATATTTAAATAAATCCATGAGAATTCTAAACTTTTTCCTAAGTTTGTAGTTATATTTTCTAATCTCCAAACAGTTATTAAGTCTACAGACTTTTATACTGCTTTTACATTCTCTGGGATTAAAAACCTTTGAACAACTATTTTTAAAACCTATTTTATTTACACTATGCACTTGGCTCCTACAAAAGTATCTGACATGTACTAAATGCACAGAAATTATTGGATAAACTAAGGAATAAAATTAGCAGACAGAAATAATCAGTAGTACAATTCTGGATTTCAAGTTGTAATGCTTTCCTGAACAACCGCATCCCATAATTTTAAAAATGTGTTTCAAGTTACTGTATACCTGAATTAACATTTTAAATCAACTAACCAAGAAATATTTTCCTTTGGACCTTCTATATTTATGTAGATCCTGCCGCTTCTCACCACTATCACTGTTACCAAGACAAAGATTGACATCTTTTTACCTAGATAATGACTATAGCCTAACCCACCTTTTCAAGTTGGCCTTTGTTTCCCTTTAGGCTGCCTGTTCTCTGCCAGCAGCCTGACTGAATTTTTTAAATTTATTTGAATATATAATTATTCTGCATAAGACTCTCCAGTGGACTCACATTTTATTTTAAAAAGCCAAAGTCCTAACAATGGCTTACAAGGCTTAGAAGGTGGATCCCTCATTACCTGTCTGTCCTCTTTCACTACTAGTCTCACGCTCCCCAATCTGCTTTAGCTCATTTACCTCCTGGCTGTCCATTCAATTCTTCAGGCAAACTTTCACAGTAGAGCATTTTTAGTTGATGTTACTAATACCTATGAGTCCTGCCCTTCCCCTAGAATTGTGTGTTGCTCTCTCACATCCTTCACAAGTTGGTTCATGTCACTCTTTCTGGGCTGTCCTTTAAAATTGCAATCCTGCTCGCTCCCATGACTCCCTCTCCCTTGACCAGCTTTATTGTTATCTTTACATGTATCAGCATGTAACATATTAGATATTTATTTTTCTTGTTTATTATTTTCTCACCACTAGAAGGTAAGCTCCGTAAGGTAGAAACTTTTATTTATTTTGCTCATTGCCATATCTGCTCTGTCGTAAGCAGTGTCTGGCACACTGTGCACATGTGCGCAAATGCATGTGAATGAAAACACACACACAATGTCTGAGAATCATCTGCAGAAAAAAGAAATAAATAAATGAGCTTTCACAGTACTTAGTTCCCTTCCCTCAGAATTTGCATTTCTTTCAGCTTCCGCATGTTTAAATATTCACTAAGTGCTGCATCTTTAGGGAACTTCCCTGTCCACATTGTTTATAATTTTTGTCAACCACTATAATAAGGCGTAGCTTACTTGTTTTGAGCAGTTATTACTATATAAATTATTTGATTTACAAAACTGTTTTCATTTGGTTTCTTTCACTCTGTACAACAATGCTAGCTCCATTAGAACAAAGACATTATGTGTGGTTAATCTGTTTCCCCAGTTCCTAGAACATTAACAAGGAAACGATGGCCAATAAGTAATTTTTTGCATATGTGAATGAGCTAAGCCTACCTAACTGCATGGCTTAAAAGTAAAAAACTTTAGTTTTTTGTTTCTGTTTTTCTTTTTTTTTTTTTTGAGACAGAGTTTCGCTCTTGTCCCCCAAGTGCAGAGACACGATCTTGGCTCACTGCAACCTCCAACTCCCGGGTTCAAGCAATTCTCCTGCCTCAGCCTCCCCAGTAGCTGGAATTACAGGCACCCACCACCACACCTGGCTAATTTTTTGTATTTCTAGTAGAAATGAGGTTTCACCATGTTGGGCAGGCTGGTCTCAAACTCCTGACCTCAGGTGATATGCCCGCCTCGGCCTCCCAAAACTTTAGTTTTTACATTGCCGTGTAGTACAGATAAGTAGCTAACAAGTTTCACTTAGCTGCTTCTATTAATTACTAAAATTCAGATGACTCTACTTAGCTAAATTATTTCTGATTTCATGACCCATTATTACAGAAGTTGTAGATGTCTCTACCAGAAGTTACCTTATAATTGGATGCCATTTATTCTTATTTGGCAATCTCACTTTACAACCAGGGCTTTATTAAATTCTAAATTTTATCGCATTTTTAATTCTCAGCTTAATGATGACACGTTATCATCAATTTTATGTTGCATAATTAGCATTTTCTTATCTAATTATCAGAAACAAAAAATGTGAACATTATTTTCACATATGTAAAGATACTAACTGATACATGTAAGTAACAATGAGATGAGATGGTAATAGGTGTGCCATAGGAGAATGCTATAGTATTTAAGGGACTCTAGATATATGTATCCAGCAATCCTGTAACAAGTCCTAAAATATAAAATAGAAAGTAAGGGATATTTGTAGTGGTCTACAGTCTAGCATCTCTTTCTCTAATGAGCCCATCTGATTATGACCAGCAATTCACATCTTTCTATATACCTTAATCCCAAATTAAGGTCCTGGGCCACACTTGCAAAAGCAAAACCTCTACAGATATTCAAGTAAAAAAAAAAAATAGGCACATTCACATTTTTAGTATGAAACATAATACACTCAAACACACACATACACACACACACACACACACACACATATATATTTTTTAAGACAGGATCTTGCTCTGTTGCTTAGGCTGGAGTGCAGTGGTTTGATCATGGCTCACTGTAGGCCCAACCTGCTAAGCTCAAGTGATCCTGCCACCTCAGCCTCCAAGTAGCTGAGACTGCAGACACATGCCACCATGACTTGATAATGTTTTAATTTTTTGTAGAGATAGTGTATCACTATGTTGTCCAGACTGATCTCCAACTCCTGGGCTCAAGCAATCCTCCTGCCCGCACCTCCAGAAGTGCTGAAATTAGAGGCATGAACCATATATAAATATTTCAATTTATATATAATATATATTAATTTATTATGTATATGTAGAGAGAGAGAGATAAAGCAGTGTTTATGTTCCTTTGAAGGTATAAAAGAAAAATAAAATCTTGGGACTCTAAACTCACTGTGCTAAAGGGAAATTTAAGCTTGGGTACAAAAAAACTACCTTGCTTTTGTTCTTTAACAGCTATAATTTCAGATACTTACTTTATCGTCTGTAACATACAGAGTTAGAGGAATGCATAATTGACTTCCCCACTACACCCTTCTTTTCACATGTAAAATGTAGATTCAATGAGCACTAATCAGAGCCTCATGGGAATGTAACCACTTGTCTCATTGCCTATCCTCTCTCCTTTTTTTTCTTTCTTTACTGCTTGTTATTTTCCCTTTGCGCATTGAAGTTTCCAAGCCCTCTTTGGAAAAAGCACAGGTTAGAGATTCTACTGCACTTTGTGTTTTTTTTTTTTTTTCCCCTGGGTGCATCCTTAATCTTGGCAAAATAAACCTCTAATCAATTGAAATCTGTCTCAGTCACCTTTTAGTTTACATTTTGGTAACTGCAAAGAGATTCTCCGAGTGGAGTTTGGCCCTTGGTCTGAAGTAATTTTCCTGTCAGGTCCTGGTACCAGGTGGAGTTCTTTATCATTCTGACTGGATGGTGTGCTGAGGGCCAGGAGCTTCTCCCTCCAGAGAGTACTAATCTTCCAAATTTTTTTGGTTGAGATCTGAAGTTTTTTCTGCTGCAGAACTCCTTTTCTGGGAGTTTTCTGTGTCTTTAAAGATGAAAAGTAGTCTTTAGCTTGGGCCTTATTTAGGGGTAAGGAGCAGGTTTGGGGCATTATTTTGGGATTGGATAGCCGAAAGTCAAGGTTTACTGTCAGCTGGCTATAACTTCTGAGAGATCTTGACTTTCATGTGCGTCCGTGTGAAGAGACCACCAAACAGGCTTTGTGTGAGCAATAAAGCTGTTTATTTCACCTGGGTGCAGGTGGGCTGAGTCCGAAAAGAGAGTCAGTGAAGGGAGATAGGGGTGGGGCCGTTTTATAGGATTTGGGAAGGTAATGGAAAATTACAGTCAAAGGGGGTTGTTCTCTGGTGGGCAGGGGCGGGGGTCACAAGGTGCTCAGTGGGGGAGCTTCTGAGCCAGGAGAAGGAAATTCACAGGGTTAATCACTCAGTTAAGGTGGGGCAGGAACAAATCACAATGGTGGAATGTCATCAGTTAAGTCGGGGCAGGGCCTTTTCACTTCTTTTGTGATTCTTCAGTTACTTCAGGCCGTCTGGGTGTATACGTGCAAGTCACAGGGGATGTGATGGCTTGGCTTGGGCTCAGAGGCCTGACATTCCTGCCTTCTTATATTAATAAGAAAAATAAAACAAAATAGTGTTGAAGTGTTGGGGTAGCGAAAATTTTTGGGGGGTGGTATGGAGAGAGAATGGGCGATGTTTCTCAGGGCTGCTTCAAGCGGGATTAGGGGCGGTGTGGGAACCTAGAGTGGGAGAGATTAAGCTGAAGGGAGATCTTGTGGTAAGGGGTGATACTGTGGGGTTGTTAGAAGAAACATGTGTCGTATAGAATGATTGGTGATGGCCTGGATATGGTTTTGTATGAATTGAAAAACTAAATGGAATAAGAGAAAGAGAAAAACAGGCATAAAAGGACTAAGAATTGGGAGGACCTAGGACATCTAATTAGAGAGCGCCTAAGGAGGTTCAGCATAGTCCTGCCAGCAAAGATTATTTATTTACTTCAAGAGTTAAGAGTGGCAGTTTGGGGATAGCACGAGGAGGAGATATCAGCTGTGATGGCTTGGAGAAACAGTGTAAACTGGCAGTGTAAACAAGAGCAGGGCATGTATGAGTAGTTGAAAATGGTGAATAGGAGTCACAGTCTAAGTTGGTCTGGTGTCTGGCTATACAGGAGCTTAAATGGGCTGTACCTTGTAGCATTCTGAGGACAGGTCTGACTTCTGAGAAAGGAAAGTGGTAAAAGTATTGTCCAGTCCTTTTTAAGTTGGTGGCTGAGCTTGGTGAGGTGTGTTTTTGATAGACCATTAGTCTGTAACTGAATATTTGACTAATAAAGGCTGGTCTGTTATCAGACTGTATAGAGGTGGGAAGGCTAAACTGAGGAATTATGTCTGACAGAAGGGAAGAAATAACTGTGGTGGCCTTCTCAGATCCTGTAGGAAAGGACTCTACCTATCTAGTGAAAGTGTCTACTTAGACTAAGAGGTATTTTAGTTTTTGTGACTCAGGGCATGTTGAGTAAAGCTAACTTGCCAGTCCTGGGCGGGTGCAAATCCTCGAGCTTGATGTGTAGGGAAGGGAGGGGGCCTGAATAATCCTTGAGGAGTAGTAGAATAGCAGATAGAATAGCAGATGGAACACTGAGAAGTTATTTCCTTGAGGATAGATTTCTACGATGGAAAGGAAATGAAAGGTTCTAAGAGGTGGGCTAGTGGCTTGTACTATAGCATAGCCTGCCTTTACTGGTGTGTGGTGATTAGGCCTGGTGGAACTGCCATCAATAAATCAAGTGTGATCAGGGTAAGAAACAAGGAAGAAGGAAATGTGGGGAAATGGGATGAACATCAGGTGGATCAGAGAGATGTGGTCATGAGGGTCAGGTGTGGTATCTGGAATAATGTGGGAGGCTGGATTGAAGTCCAGGCCAGGAACAATGGTAATTGTGGGACTTAACAAAGAGTGAGTACAGCTGAAGGAGCCAGGGCGCAGAAAGTATATGCGTCAGGTATGAGGAAGAAAATAGATTTTGGAAGTTATGAGAACTGTAGAGAGTGAGCTGAGCATAGTTTGTGATTTTGAGGGCCTCTAAAAGTATTAAAGCAGTGGCAGCTGCTGCACGCAGACATGAGGGCTAGGCTAAAACAGTAAGGTCAAGTTGTTTGGACAGAAAGGCTACAGGGTGCGGTCCTGGCTCTTGTGTAAGAATTCTGACCGCACTAACCATGCCTAGGAAGGAAAGGAGTTGTTTTGTAAGGGATTGAGGTTTGGGAGATTAATCAGACACAATCAGCAGGGAGAGCACGTGTGTTTTTACGAGAATTATGCCGAGATAGGTAACAGATGAGGATGAAATTTGGGCTTGACTGAAGTAATGGGGGCTGTCTGTGAAGTCTTGCGGCAGTACAGCCCAGGTAATTTGCTGAGCCTGATGGGTGTCAGGGTCAGTCCAAGTGAAAGCGAAGAGAGGCTGGGATGACGGGTGCAAAGGAATAGTAAAGAAAACATGTTTGAGATCCAGAACAGAATGATGGATTGTGGAGGGAGGTATTGAGGATAGGAGAGTATATGGGTTTGGCACCATGGGGTGGATAGGCAAAACAATTTGGTCAATAAGGCACAGATCCTGAACTAACTTGTAAGGCTTGTCTGGTTTCAGGACAGGTAAAATGGGGGAATTGTAAGGGGAGTTTATAGGCTTTAAAAGGTCATGCTGTAGCAGGTGAGTGATAACAGGCTTTAATCCTTTCAAAGCCTGCTGTGGGGTGGGATATTGGCATTGAGCGGGGTAGGGGTGATTAGGTTTTAATGAGATGGTAAGGGGTGCATGATGGGTCACCAAGGAGGGAGTAGAGGTATCTTATACTTGTGGGTTAAGGTGGGGGAATACAAGAGGAGGACGCAAAGGAGGCTTTGGATTGGGAAGAAGTGAAGCAATGAGATGTGGCTGTAGTCCAGGAATAGTCAGGGAAGCAGATAATTTGGTTAAAATATCTTGGCCTAATAAGGGAACTGGGCAGGTGGGGATAACTAAAAAAGAGTGCATAAAAGAGTACTGTCTAAGTTGGCACCAGAGTTGGGGAGTTTTAAGAGGTTTAGAAGCCTGGCTGTCAATATCCACAACAGTTATGGAGGCAAGGGAAACAGGCACTTGAAAAGAAGGTAATGTGGAGTGGGTAGCCTCCGTATTGATTAAGAAGGGGACGGACTTACCCTCCACTGTGAGAGTTACTTAAAGCTCGGCGTCCGTGATGGTCTACGGGGCTTCCGAGGCAATCGGGCAGCATCAGTCTTCAGCTGCTAAGCCAAGAAGGAGTCAGTCAGAGAGCCCTGGGCCAGAGTTCCAGGGGCTCTGGGAGTGGCTGCCAGGTGAGTTGAACAGTCTGATTTCCAACGGGGTCCTGCACAGATGGGACACGGCTTAGGAGGAATCCTGGGCTGCAGGCATTCCTTGGCCTGGTGGTCAGATTTCTGGCACTTGTAGCAAGCTCCTGGGGGATGAGGTTCTGGAGGAATTGCTGGCCGCTGCGGTTCAGGCATTTGGAAGTTCTTGTGGGCTGGAGATATGGCTGGGGTTTGTCTCACAGTGGAGGCAAGGAATTGCAACTTTTTTTTCTATTATTGTACACCTTGAAGGTGAAGTTAATTAAGTCCTGTTGTGGGGTTTGAGGGCCAGATTCCAATTTTTGGAGTTTTATTTAATGTCAGGAGCAGATTGGGTAATAAAATGTATATTGAGAATAAGA
Organism: Homo sapiens; assembly: GCF_000001405.40. Taxonomy (NCBI): domain Eukaryota; kingdom Metazoa; phylum Chordata; class Mammalia; order Primates; family Hominidae; genus Homo; species Homo sapiens. The sequence goes on from NC_000004.12 coordinate 135,171,017, forward strand.
TGACCTTTTGACATTTTAGGGTCTAGGGCTGTAAAACGTCTCAGGGTTGCTGCTGAATGAGCCATGAACTGGGCTGGGTTTTTATATTTGATGAAAAAGAGCCTAAATGCTTCTGATTTGGGATAAAGCAAAAGGAGCATTAACCTTGACTATGCCTTTGGCTCCAGCCACCTTTTTAAGAGTAAATTGCTGGGCAGGTGGGGGAGGGCTAGTCACCGAATGAAACTGTAAGCTGGACCAGGTGTGAGGAGGGGAGGTGATAAAGGGATTATAGGGTGGAGGAGCAGAGCCTGAGGAAGAATTGGGACCTAGCTCAGCCTGGCGAGGAGGGGAGAGGTCAGATGGGTCTGTAGAAAAGGAAGATTAGAAAGACTCAGCGAAGCTTGGGGTTGGGACTGAGGGGACAGGTGGGAGGGAAAGAAGGAAGATTTGAGATGAATTGCACTGGGCACAGAGACTAGGAAGGGACTGATGTGTAAAAGAATGCCTGGACGTCAGGCACCTCAGACCATTTGCCCATTTTACGACAAGAATTATTTAGATCTTGTAGGATGGAAAAATTGAAAGTGCCATTTTCTGGCTATTTGGAACTACTGTCGAGTTTGTATTGGGGTCAAGCAGCATTGCAGAAGAAAATAAGATGCTTAGATTTTAGGTCAGGTGAGAGTTGAAGAGGTTTTAAGTTCTTAAGAATACAGGCTAAGGGAGAAGAAGGAGGAATGGAAGGTGGAAGCTTGCCCATAGTGAAGGAGGCAAGCCCAGAGAAAAGAGTAGAGACACGGAGAAGGGGTGGGGATTTCTTGCCCTCCAGAAAAGCAGAGAAAGGGTTGGGGCATGGAAATAAGGGATTGGGGCACAGAGATAAGAGGTTAGGGTGCAGAAATAAGGGATTGGGGCACAGAGATAAGAGGTCAGGGTTCAGAAATAAGGGATTGGGTGTTCTTGCCTCCTAGAAAAGCAGAACTTGCAGCTAAGGGTGAAGGAGAAGGGGTTGAGGGGTAATTGTCCCTCCCCCAGAAGAGCGGGACTTGCCGCTAAGGGTGAAGGAGAAGGGGTTGAGGGGTACTTGCCCCTCCCCCAGAAAAGCAGAGAAGGGGTAGAGACACAGAGAGAAGGGGTTTGAGTACTTGCCCCTTCCCCAGAAAAGCAGAGAAAGGGTAGAGACAAGGAGAGAAGGGGTTGGGGTACTTGCCCCTTCCCCAGAAAAGCAGGACTTGCCGCTAAGGGTGAAGGACCAAGGCAGGCATCCCTGCGTGGTCTGACACCTTTGAAACGTGGGTGAATAATCAGAGAGGCGTCCCTGCAATAATTAAACACCAAGGGAAGGCTGCCTTCCCAGTCCGTGACCGGCGCCGGAGTTTTGGGTCCACGGATAAAACATGTCTCCTTTATCTCTACCAGAAAATGAAAGGAATTGAAATTAAGAGAAGAGAGAGATTGAAGAGTGGTGCCAAGATTGAAAGGAGAAAGAGGTTGAGGGATAGTGAGGGAGGTTGGAGAAGACAGTAAAAAGAGGCCGCTTACCGGATTTGAAATTGGTGAGATGTTTCTTGGGCTGGTCAGTCTGAGGACCTGAGGTTGTAAGTGGATCTTTCTCAGGGAGCAAAGAGCAGGAGGATGGGGGATTGATCTCCCAAGGGAGGTCCCCCGATCTGAGTCACGGCACCAAATTTCATGCACGTCCGTGTGGAGAGACCACCAAACAGGCTTTGTGTGAACAATAAAGCTGTTTATTTCACCTGGGTGCAGGTGGGCTGAGTCCGAAAAGAGAGTCAATGAAGGGAGATAGGGGAGGGGCCGTTTTATAGGATTTGGGAAGGTAATGGAAAATGACAGTCAAAGGGGGTTGTTCTCTGGTGGGCAGGGGCGGGGGTCACAAGGTGCTCAGTGGGGGAGCTTCTGAGCCAGGAGAAGGAAATTCACAGGGTTAATCACTCAGTTAAGGTGGGGCAGGTACAAATCACAATGGTGGAATGTCATCAGTTAAGTCGGGGCAGGGCCTTTTCACTTCTTTTGTGATTCTTCAGTTACTTCAGGCTATCTGGGCATATACGTGCAAGTCACGGGATGTGATGGCTTGGCTTGGGCTCAGAGGCCTGACATTGACCATATGTAAATTGCATGATCATTCCTTTTCCTTTTTTGGTTTAGTTCACTTCTGTTAGATTTGACCAACTTTTGGCCCCTCTGATATCTTCTGGAAACCTTGCAGCTGCAGAAAGTCAAGTTCCACCTAAAAAAACCCTGGCTGATTAAGAAAGATAAAGAATTTGACTGTCTGAGGAGTTTTATTTACATAACCAGACGACCTTCCTACCCTTTCTTTCTGTGCTATTAATTTAAAGATTTTAGAGATCTCTTATTCTAAACAATTAATGAAAATAGCACATTTTAAAAGGACACACAATAATGCAATGGCTAGCGTTAAAAATTCTCTTGACTAAATTAAGAGCAAAAGCTGACCTAAAATGGCTCTGGTAATTAAAATTTCTGTCATGGCTTATGTTTGCTACCTAATTAGGGAACACAAAGGCCACTCCACTTTATGACTTAATAGTTAAAATTCTGCACTTTCACTTTCATGGCATGGGTTTGATTCTTAATTGGCTTTAAAAGTTAGCAATTAAATATTTTAACAGAAACATAGAAACTTCAACTCAAATATATTTTAGCTCACATAACTTTAGTAATCTTTCAATGGTCTTTGTCCCAGCAAAAATCTAATAAGAGATTTGAAAGTACTTTTTAAGAGCTCTATACTCAAAAGTTGGCTTCATAAAAATTGATATTTAGGCTACTACATAGTCTAAATATCAACTTTATTGAAATGTTTAGAGAGAGAGAGCAGAGGCCTTATACTCTCTCTCTCTGTGTCTCTAAAACTAAATTTATTTCTTTTTAAATCCCTGTTAGCCACACGTGCTCTCATTGTTTTCTTATTTATTTCTATTGGCCCCTCTTTCCATTTGCTACTCTCTCTGCCGCATTTGGGAACAACAAATATTCTAACAGCCTGAAATCCCTAAATAAAAAGTACAGAAGGCATCACAGACTCCTTCTTGGAAGAAATTTCTGTTTCTACCTCAAGGAATCTCAAAGGTTACAAATGGACAGTGTCCTCTCAGATCTAAAACTCTCTTCTTTTTTGCATTGCATTGCCTAATCTTTTTAGCTTTGTCGGGGGTGACGGGGAGAGGGCACTAGAAATTACTTTCCATTGCAAAAAAATTGACTTTGGTGTGTATAATGAGTGGAGAGTAGGCTGATCACAGAGTAGGCTGATTGGTGTTGGGTTTCCCACCAGCCCCAGGGAATGTCTTTGTAGCTAAATAAACTGTGAAAATGTTGTGTGGCCCAGTCTTCATGGCATTTATTATTTTGAGAACTCAAGTGTTACAGGAAAGGGATCCCGAACCAGACCCCAAGAGAGGGTTCTTGGATCTCACACAAGAAAAAATTCAGGGCGAGTCTGCAGTGCAAAGCAAAAGCTAGTTTATTAAGAAAATAAAGTGGGGAAGTACAACTAGTCCATAGACAGAGTAGGATGATCCCAAAAGAAAGAGGAGGAACGTGTCCATCCTAGGTACAATGCTTGTATATATGGAGAGATGTGCTCTGCTACAAGCGTTTGTGATGAAGGATTAATTTTCTTAATTACTATACTTTGCAAGAATCAATATTATTATCTTTAAAGCAAAATTAGGAATGCCTTCGTTCCCCAGATGTCAGGGTATCTGGACACTCCTAAGTCTGGGTCTGTTTAGTGAACATTATTAATTTGGGTCCTTAACCATAAACATCTAGAGGCTATGAATACCTAACTTTCTGGGAATGCAGCCCAGCAAGTCCCAGCCTCATTTTCATAGCCTTCACTCAAGGTGTAGTATCTCTGTTTTGAACTCCTCTGACACAAGTTTCAGTATGAGCTCCACTCTGAGATCAATGGTCTAGTTAAAAGATAGACTAAATTAAAAGCACTTATCTGAATAAAATTGGTCTCCTTGTAAAATCCTATAATAAATTTGTATAATTTTTGGTTACCTTTCTATTTTTTTAATCTTTCTCTAACACACCCAAACTTCTTAAAAAAGGAAAGCTTAAATTCTCTATCTCTGTATTTTTAGATGAAACTTTTCTATTAAGTTTCACCTAAGAGTTATACCTTTCAAAATGCAAATTTAGGGTTGCCTAGCTAACAATTGCCTAGGGCAATAAAACAGGTAATTGGAAAAGACTGATAGACTAAAGTGGGGAGAGAAACTTTGAGAATTGGTAAATGAAGAATCTTATAATCTGTAAGATCTGTTTCTGTGTCTTTATTCTATGTCTTTATACGTGTCATGTTTATGTGATGTTTCACTACCATGATAAATAAAACAACTTATTAATTGGCTTTAAAAGCTAGCAGTTAAATATTTTATCAAAAACAGAAACTTCAACTCAAATGTTTTAGTTCACCTAACTTTAGTAATCTTTCATAAACAAAGACACTTCAAAATTATTGTTGTAATAAAACAGAAACATCTTCAAATTTAATTTTGACATTTTGTATGAGTCCATTGGTTTATTGGTCAGATGCTTCCTCTGATAAATGTTTTAAGACATCAATGTTTGCTTCTGTAGTACTTTTGATACTTGCTTAACTTGTCTATAAACTTTTTAGATTTGAGCCTCTCAGGGTCATGATGAGGCCTAAATTCAGGGATTTTCCTTTGTTCTGGACCTTACATCTGATATATAATTAAAATTGCTTGTTTAAAGATTTTTTTTCTAAAAATGAGGGTTACTAAGTGTTACTATAATAATTAATATTTATATTTAGAACTACTAGTCCACTGCACTGGTTCATGCCCGTAGTCCCAGCCCTTTGGGAGGCCGAGGTAGGCAGATTGCTTGATGTCAGGAGTTCCAGATCAGCTTGGGCAACATGGAAAAACTCTGCCTCTACAAAAACTACAAAAAGCAGCTGGGTGTGGTGTGCACCTGTAGTTCCAGCTACTTGGGAGGCTGAGGTGGAAGAATCGCTTGAGCCCAGGCAGTAAGGGTTGCAGTGAGCCTAGATCATGCCACTGTATTCTAGCCTGAGTGAGAGTGAGACCCTGTCTTAAACAAAACAAACAAAACAAAACAAAAACCTACTTGATATAAGAGAAACAATTCTATACAGAAAATATTTTTAAAAAGTAGGATGTGCTTTTAGTAAAAGCATTGTAAAAAGACATGCAGATATAGTTTTTATTAAAGAGAAGGTAGGATTTTATTAAAATTTAGCTTTAGCATTAATAGTAGACACTATGCAAAGGTAAAATTTGATTTTCTCTTTTGAATAAGATTTTTATGTAATATTAAGAAATAGTAAAATCTCTCTTTTTTTGGTAAACTGAGAAAAACAAACAGGGGAGAGAAAAAAAGATTCCCTTGGCCTTGTGCCATCTTCATTAGGTCTTATTTTTAGATATACAATCCCCTGAAGTTCAAAAAGAGACATATTCACCTTACTTGATATAATAAGATCACATAGGAAGTACTGTCCAATATGAAGTGATGGTTAACTTTCTTTAGGTTCTATTTTTATAAATGTGGTATTGATATGTGTTCCAAAATAGTATGAAATTTCTATAATTCTAATGTTTTAGTATATAATATTAATAATAATTATGATTATTATGTTAACTTGTATGCCACAGAAATTATCAATTTTTTGTCAATTGTGTCTTTGACCATGGCTATCTTAAGACTTTTGTCAACCACAGGCAGTTATTTACTTTGATCCTTCTCAAAAAGCAGTTTACAATCAGGTGTTAGCTAAAACATGCTTCATTAGGAAAGATCACTGAAAGGACTCTGACAGGTGCTCTCACATGCAGGTTTCTGATAACCTTGGAGATTGTGTCATTGGACTAGAGAAAAAAATAAATAAAAATAAAACTTCCAAGTGTCTTGTTGAAGAGCTGATGTGTTCACAAGATTACTAACCCCAATACCAAATGGAATGAATTAATTGCTATGGACTGAATAGAGGAATGACATAATTTTTATGACTGTTTTTTGTTTGAAACATTGCTGATTCTTTTCATCTTGTTTTTCAGAGTCAAGAAAACTTTTTTCTATTAAGCTATTTAACAGCTTTTAAACAATTCAGTAAAGTATACTCTTCTGAGCAAAATTTAAAACATTTCTCACTACCTGATTTTGCCAGATTTTGGAAACAATTTATAAGTATTCTTAATTTATGACAATATAGTTTTTGCATAATTTCTATAAGAATCTGTTTTCTCTTGTAATAGGACACAGTTGGAGACACTGGTTATTTTACCAAGGCCTTAACTGGAATGGCATATTTTCAAATATAAATAGACTGCTTTGAGGAATTGAAATTAACTGTATAGAGCTAATAAAATCCCCTTGGAAAGGCTGGCTTCATACTTTGTCTATTCTGTTTCTTTACAGAATTCCTGATCTGTGGGAAGTAAAGAATGCCACTATCCAGCAGGCCCAGAAACCTCAAGTTATTTGGGAACCTTGAGTAGAAAGGAATGCACCCAAATCATACAAGTATTTGCAGACACAGATAAACCTTTGGCTGAGCTCAAGAGGCCTTTAAAAGTCTAATCAGAGATTCTTTATGAAAAAGCTTCAGCAAATTCAATTCAAAAGGAGTCCATTGATCAATAATTATTCTTGCTTTACTTTATGCAAATAATCAGGCCAAGTATAACAAGACTAAAACTTATTGTACAAATAAATTGGTCTTACTATGATTTATCTTTGGTACAAATAGGGGATGAGAGAATGAAAAATTAGATTTCAAAAGAAACTATAACACCTGCTATTAGATTCTAACCTTGTCCATTGATTTTCAGTTTTTATTATTTGTCTACAATTTATCTAGACTGGATCCTGAATTCTTCCCTGGCTACAAGTTTTCAAAATAATGTTTTCATTTTTTTAATTCAAGTTTTCTGACTTTTCATTTTTTTAAATCCCATCACTAGAAATTAAAACTGTGCTTTTCTCAAAGCCCTGAACACTGGAGCTAGACAACATAAAATTTGGGAGAAATAATGGCAAACACACACACACACACACACACACACACACACACACACACACACACATTCCCTTTGGTTCCAAGTCTTTGCTATTGTGAATAATGCCGCAATAAACATACGTGTGCATGTGTCTTTATAGCAGCATGATTTATAATACTTTGGGTATAAACCCAGTAATGGGATGGCTGGATCAAATGGTATTTCTAGTTCTAGGTCCTTGAGGAATCACCACACTGTCTTCCACAGTGGTTGAACTAGTTTACAGTCCCACCAACAGTGTAAAAGTGTTCCTATTTCTCCACATCCTCTCCAGCACCTGTTGTTTCCTGACTTTTTAATGATTGCCATTGTAACTGGTGTGAGATGGTATCTCATTGTGGTTTTGATTTGCATTTCTCTGATGGCCAGTGATGGTGAGGATTTTTTCATGTGTTTTTTGGCTGCATAAATGTCTTCTTTTGAGAAGTGTCTGTTCATATCCTTTGCCCACTTTTTGATGGGGTTGTTTGTTTTTATCTTGTAAATTTGTTTGAGTTCATTGTAGATTCTGGATATCAGCCCTTTGTCAGATGAGTAGGTTGCGAAAATTTTCTCCCATTTTGTAGGTTGCCTGTTCACTCTGATGGTAGTTTCTTTTGCTGTGCAGAAGCTCTTTAGTTTAATTAGATACCATTTGTCAATTTTGGCTTTTGTTGCCATTGCTTTTGGTGTTTTAGACATGAAGTCCTTGCCCATGCCTATGTCCTGAATGGTAATGCCTAGGTTTTCTTCTAGGGTATTTATGGTTTTAGGTCTAACGTTTAAGTCTTCAATCCATCTTGAATTAATTTTTGTATAAGGTGTAAGGAAGGGATCCAGTTTCAGCTTTCTACATATGGCTAGCCAGTTTTCCCAGCACCATTTATTAAACAGGGAATCCTTTCCCCATTGCTTGTTTTTCTCAGGTTTGTCAAAGATCAGATAGTTGTAGATATGCGGCATTATTTCTGAGGGCTCTGTTCTGTTCCATTGATTTATATCTCTGTTTTGGTACCAGTACCATGCTGTTTTGGTTACTGTAGCCTTGTAGTGTAGTTTGAAGTCAGGTAGTGTGATGCCTCCAGCTTTGTTCTTTTGGCTTAGGATTGACTGGGCAATGTAGGCTCTTTTTTGGTTCCATATGAACTTTAAAGTAGTTTTTTCCAATTCTGAGAAGAAAGTCATTGATAGCTCGATGGGGATAGCATTGAATCTGTAAATTATCTTAGGCAGTATGGCCATTTTCATGATATTGATTCTTCCTACCCATGGGCATGGAATGTTCTTCCATTTGTTTGTATCCTCTTTTATTTCCTTGAGCAGTGGTTTGTAGTTCTCCTTGAAGAGGTCCTTCACATCCCTTGTAAGTTGGATTCCTAGGTATTTTATTTTCTTTGAAGCAATTGTGAATGGGAGTTCACTCATGATTTGGCTCTCTGTTTGTCTGTTGTTGGTGTATAAGAATGCTTGTGATTTTTGTACATTGATTTTGTATCCTGAGACTTTGCTGAAGTTGTTTATCAGCTTAAGGAGATTTTGGGCTGAGACAATGGGGTTTTCTAAATATACAATCATGTCGTCTGCAAACAGGGACAATTTGACTTCCTCTTTTCCTAATTGAATACCCTTTATTTCCTTCTCCTGCCTAATTGCCCTGGCCAGAACTTCCAACACTATGTTGAATAGGAGTGGTGAGAGAGGGCATCCCTGTCTTGTGCCAGTTTTCAAAGGGAATGCTTCCAGTTTTTGCCCATTCAGTATGATATTGGCTGTGGGTTTGTCATAGATAGCTCTTATTATTTTGAAATACGTCCCATCAATACCTAATTTATTGAGAGTTTTTAGCATGAAGGGTTGTTGAATTTTGTCAAAGGCCTTTTCTGCATCTATTGAGATAATCATGTGGTTTTTGTCTTTGGTTCTGTTTATATGCTGGATTACATTCATTGATTTGCGCATATTGAACCAGCCTTGCATCCCAGGGATGAAGCCCACTTGATCATGGTGGATAAGCTTTTTGATGTGCTGCTGGATTCGGTTTGCCAGTATTTTATTGAGGATTTTTGCATCAGTGTTCATCAAGGATATTGGTCTAAAATTCTCTTTTTTTGTTGTGTCTCTGCCTGGCTTTGGTATCAGGATGATGCTGGCCTCATAAAATGAGTTAGGGAGGATTCCCTCTTTTTCTATTGATTGGAATAGTTTCAGAAGGAATGGTACCAGTTCCTCCTTGTATGTCTGGTAGAATTCGGCTGTGAATCCTTCTGGTCCTGCACTCTTTTTGGTTGGTAAGCTATTGATTATTGCCACAATTTCAGATCCTGTTATTGGTCTATTCAGAGATTCAACTTCTTCCTGGTTTAGTATTGGGAGAGTGTATGTGTTGAGGAATTTATCCATTTCTTCTAGATTTTCCAGTTTATTTGCGTAGAGGTGTTTGTAGTATTCTCTGATGGTAGTGTGTATTTCTGTGAGATCGGTGGTGATATCCCCTTTGTCATTTTTTATTGCGTCTATTTGATTCTTCTCTCTTTTCTTCTTTATTAACCTTGCTAGTGGTTTATCAATTTTGTTGATCCTTTCAGAAAACCAGCTCCTGGATTTATTAATTTTTTGAAGGGTTTTTTGTGTCCCTATTTCCTTCAGTTCTGCTCTGATTTTAGTTATTTCTTGCCTTCTGCTAGCTTTTGAATGTGTTTGCTCTTGCTTTTCTAGTTCTTTTAATTGTGATGTTATGGTGTCAATTTTGGATCTTTCCTGCTTTCTCTTGTGGGCCTTTAGTGCTATGAATTTCCCTCTACACACTGCTTTGAATGCCTCCCAGAGATTCTGGTATGTTGTGTCTTTGTTTTCATTGGTTTCAAAGAACATCTTTATTTCTGCCTTCATTTCCTTATGTACCCAGTAGTCATTCAGGAGCAGGTTGTTCAGTTTCCATGTAGTTGAGTGGTTTTGAGTGAGATTCTTAATCCTGAGTTCTAGTTTGATTGCATGGTGGTCTGAGAGATAGTTTGTTATAATTTCTGTTCTTTTACATTTGCTTAGGAGTGCTTTACTTCCAAGTATGTGGTCAATTTTGGAATAGGTGTGGTGTGGTGCTGAAAAAAATGTATATTCTGTTGATTTCGGGTGGAGAGTTCTGTACATGTCTATTAGGTCTGCTTGGTGCAGAGATGAGTTCAATTCCTGGGTATCCTTGTTGACTTTCTGTCTCGTTGATCTGTCTAATGTTAACAGTGGGGTGTTAAAGTCTCCCATTATTAATGTGTGGGAGTCTAAGTCTCTTTGTAGGTCACTCAGGACTTGCTTTATGAATCTGGGTGCTCCTGTATTGGGTGCATATATATTTAGGATAGTTACATCTTCTTGTTGAATTGATCCCTTTACCATTATGTAATGGCCTTCTTTGTCTCTTTTGATCTTTGTTGGTTTAAAGTCTGTTTTATCAGAGACTAGGATTGCAACCCCTGCCTTTTTTTGTTTTCCATTTGCTTGGTAGATCTTCCTCCATCCTTTTATTTTGAGCCTATGTGTGTCTCTGCACATGAGATGGGTTTCCTGGATACAGCAGACTGATGGATCTTGACTCTTTATCCAATTTGCCAGTCTGTGTCTTTTAATTGGAGCATTTAGTCCATTTACATTTAAAGTTAATATTGTTATGTGTGAATTTGATCCTGTCATTCTGATGATAGCTGGTTATTTTGCTCATTAGTTCATGCAGTTTCTTCCTAGTCTCGATGGTCTTTACATTTTGGCATGATTTTGCAGAGGCTGGTACCGGTTGTTCCTTTCCATGTTTAGCGCTTCCTCCAGGAGCTCTTTTAGGGCAGGCCTGGTGGTGACAAAATCTCTCAGCATTTGCTTGTCTGTAAAGCATTTTATTTCTCCTTCACTTATGAAGCTTAGTTTGGCTGGATATGAAATTCTGGGTTGAAAATTCTTTTCTTTAAGAATGTTGACTATTGGCCCCCACTCTCTTCTGGCTTGCAGAGTTTCTGCCGAGAGATCCGCTGTTAGTCTGATGGGCTTCCCTTTGAGGGTAACCCGAACTTTCTCTCTGGCTGCCCTTAACATTTTTTCCTTCATTTCAACTTTGGTGAATCTGACAATTATGTGTCTTGGAGTTGCTCTTCTCGAGGAGTATCTTTGTGGCGTTCTCTGTATTTCCTGAATCTGAATGTTGGCCTTGCTAGATTGGGGAAGTTCTCCTGGATAATATCCTGCAGAGTGTTTTCCAACTTGGTTCCATTCTCCCCGTCACTTTCAGGTACACCAATCAGACATAGATTTTGTCTTTTCACTTAGTCCCATATTTCTTGGAGGCTTTGCTCGTTTCTTTTTATTCTTTTTTCTCTAAACTTCCCTTCTCGCTTCATTTCATTCATTTCATCTTCCATCGCTGATACCCTTTCTTCCAGTTGATCACATCGGCTCCTGAGTCTTCTGCATTCTTCATGTAGTTCTTGAGCCTTGGTTTTCAGCTCCATCAGCTCCTTTAAGCACTTCTCTGTATTGGTTATTCTAGTTAGACATTCTTCTAAATTTTTTTCAAAGTTTTCAACTTCTTTGCCTTTGGTTTGGATGTCCTCCTGTAGCTTGGAGTAATTTGATCGTGTGAAGCCTTCCTCTCTCAGCTCGTCAAAGTCCTTCTCTGTCCAGCTTTGTTCCATTGCTGGTGAGGAACTGCGTTCCTTTGGAGGAGGAGAGGTGCTCTGCTTTTTAGAGTTTCCAGTTTTTCTGTTCTGTTTTTTCCCCATCTTTGTGGTTTTATCTACTTTTGGTCTTTGATGATGGTGATGTACAGATGGGTTTTTTGTGTGGATGTCCTTTTTGTTTGTTAGTTTTCCTTCTAACAGACAGGACCCTCAGCTGCAGGTCTGTTGGAGTACCCGGCCGTGTGAGGTGTCAGTCTGCCCCTGCTGTGGGGTGCCTCCCAGTTAGGCTGCTCAGGGGTCAGGGGTCAGGGACCCACTTGAGGAGGCAGTCTGCCCATTCTCAGATCTCCAGCTGCGTGCTGGGAGAACCACTGCTCTCTTCAAAGCTGTCAGACAGGGACACTTAAGTCTGCAGAGGTTACTGCTGTCTTTTTGTTTGTCTGTGCCCTGCCCCGGGAGGTGGAGCCTACAGAGGCAGGCAGGCCTCCTTGAGCTGTGGTGGGCTCCACCGAGTTCGAGCTTCGCAGCTGCTTTGTTTACCTAAGCAAGCCTGGGCAATGGCGGGTGCCCCTCCCTCAGCCTCGCTGCCTCCTTGCAGTTTGATCTCAGAATGCTGTGCTAGCAATCAGCGAGACTCCGTTGGCATAGGACCCTCCGAGCCAGGTGCAGGATATAATCTTCTGGTGCGCGGTTTTTTAAGCCCATCGGAAAAGTGCAGTATTCGGTTGGGAGTGACCCGATTTTCCAGGTGCCATCTGTCACCCCTTTCTTTGACTAGGAAAGGGAACTCCCTAACCCCTTGCACTTCCCGAGTGAGGCAATGCCTCACCCTTCTTTGGCTCGCGCACGGTGCGTGCACCCACTGACGTGCGCCCACTGTCTGGCACTCCCTAGTGAGATGAACCCGGTACCTCAGATGGAAATGCAGAAATCACCCGTCTTCTGTGTCGCTCACGCTGGGAGCTGTAGACCGGAGCTGTTCCTATTCGGCCATCTTGGCTCCCAGACCAATCACGTATTGTCTTGATAAACATCTCAAACAACAGAAAACAGCGTTTGAGATTAGAGAACCAGTCTGACCACAAATTTACCAGGGTGGAGTTTTTCCCCACCCTAGTAAACCTGAGGGTTCTGCAGGACACCAGGGCTTATCTCAGTCTTTATCTCAACTGAACAAAACAGACATTCCCAGAGCGGCGGTTTATAGACCTCTCTCCAGGAAAGCATTCTTTTCCCAGGGTTTTAATATTAATATTCTTTGCTAAGAAAAGAATTTAGCAATATGTTTCCTACTTGCATGTCCATTTATAGGCTTTCTGCAAGAAGAAAAATACAGGTCTTTTTGCCTGAACCTGCAGGCAGTCAGACCTTATGGTTGTCTTCCCTTGTTCCATAAAAATCGCTATTATTCTGTTCTTTTTCAAGGTACAAGGTGCACTGATTTCATATTGTTCAAACACACATGTTTTACAATCAATTTGTATAGTTAACACAATGATCACAGTGCTCCTGAGGCGATGTACATCCTCAGCTTATGAAGATAACATGATTAAGAAATTAAAGACAGGCATAAGAAATTATGAAAGTATTATTTGAGAACTGATAAATGTACATATTAAGATGAAATCTTCACAGTTTATGTTCCTCTGCCATGGCTCCAGCTGTTCCCTCCATTCAGGGTCCCTGACTTCCTGTAACACTGGTGGAGAAAAGAAAAAAAGTTCAAAGTGCAGGACTGTGTTAACTGTTGACAGGGTAGAGAAAAGGAAAAAAAAGTTTAAGGTGCAGGGTTGAGTCTGGGGAAGAACCTCTTATTCTTTTTTTTTTTTTGAGACGGAGTCTTGCTCTGTCACCTAGGCTAGAGTACAGTGGTGCTATCTTGGCTCACTGCAAGCTCTGCCTCCTAGGTTCATGCCATTCTCCTGCCTCAGCCTCCTGAGTATTTGGGACTACAGGTGCCCGCCAGCACGCCTGGCTAATTTTTTGTATTTTTAGTAGAGATGGGATTTCACAGAACCTCTTATTCTCATGCAAATGGGTTCTTCCCACTGGGAGAGAAACTTAATAGCTGTCAGAAGGAGCTGGACTCCTTGGCTGGAGGAGGGGAAGATTCCACGGATGTGTGGTGGGGAAGGCAGGCCAGTTATTGGGTATCCTTGAGGCGTGAAGCCCAGCCTCAGCTGGAAGGAGAGGGAGCCGCTCTTTGACTGTCCATCCCCAAAAAAGAAAGAAATTGTTGACATTCCCAACCCCTGAAAGCGATGGGGGTCGGGGCAGAAAGGAGGCACAATTTCTTCTACCCTCAGAAAAAGTCTGAGGACAAAAAGGCTTAGAAGCAAAAATGAAGAAGACTTTTCGGTTCACACCTTACTCATTCTTCCTTAAGCCCCAAGTCTGGGTGCCAAAATGTTGCAGAATTTTGCCTCTTAGTTCAGCAAAAACTGGGTTATTTTCACACGATCAGGAAAATGTAGAAACATGGAAACACTGAAGGGTGAGTAGAGCAGGATTTTATTGGGCAAAAACGGGGGGAAAAAAAAAGAAAAACAAACAAAAACCTTAACAAAGTGAGATGCAGTCCTGCTAACAGCCCCCCGCCCCTTCCCCCGCCACCTGCGAGATTGAATCCCAGGCCATCACAAAGGAACTGAAGAGGCCAGGCTCCTTCCCCTGCCTATGGCTCCACCCTGTTCCCCCAGTGCACACCTGAGCATGCTCAGACAAGGCCCTGGGCAGGTTCCCTTGTCTGTACAAATGCATCTGATGTAAACACTTGTGGAGCATGTCTGAGTTTCTCTGGAGATCCCCTTTTATCTGCTTAGGCATTTGACTATCTCACTGAGACATGACCTGTTAGAAATGAGCCTTCCTAGCAACATGGGACCTAACCTTCTAGGAATAAACCATCCTGGTGATGAAGATTCAGACCAAACCTGTGACCAGAGACTCATTTTCTTTTACAATGCTTCTTCTGAAAGATTTTTAAGAATAGAGGGAAGTATGAAATAAAAATAAAAGCTTGAGACATCAAACTGCCTATGCCGAAGAGAAAATTAAGATTGGGAACTGAGTCATGCAAAAAACTATCTTCCTTTTGTTCCCAGAGAGCTGTAATTTTTTAAAATTTATTTTTGTTTTATTTTACTTTTTATTTTTTAAGACAGGGTCTCACACTGTTGCCAAGCTGGAGTGAAATGGCATGATCATCCTTCTTTGCAGCCTCGACCTACCAGGCTCAAGCCATTCTCCCACCTCAGTCTTCTTAGTAGCTGGGACCACAGAGATGCCCCCGATACCTGGCTAAAGTGTTTGTTTTTTGTAGAGGTGAAGTCTCATGTTATTGCCCAGGCAGGTCTCAAATTTCCAAGCTCAATTGACCCTCCTCCCTTCGGCTCTCAAAGTGCTGAGATTACAGATGAGTGCCACTGTGCCCAGTCAGAGCTGTACTTTCAAATGCTTTATTGCATGTAAAAAGTAGATTACTGAGTGTGAGATGAATGCATAGTTGACTGTTTCTCCCACTCCTTTCTTTTCATATGTAAAACATAGATTTAAGGAACGCTATTCACAGCCTCACAAGAATGTAAGCACTTGCCTCATTGCCTACTCACCCTTTTTTTTTTCTTCCTCTTTTGCTTGCTCTCCTTTTTGCATATTGAAGCTCTCAATTCCTCTTTGGAAGAAGCACAAGATTAAAAATATCAATTGGTTACTTAAATCATATTTCTTATTCCACCCTTATGACGTTCTAATTTAGTTAGTTTAGAAAGTACAAAGTTACTAAAGTAGTGTCCTGTAAATATATACAGGAGAAGGAAGTCAAATACAAATTGTATCTTTATAAATATATTTCAATCAAGAACATTAGGACTATTACTTTTAAATATTTTTAATTTTTAAATTTTTTTCTGATCCATCTGGATATATTTGACATTAATACAATTGTGAGGTTGATTCAATAGCTGCAATGTTAAATAAAATAGACATTGAATGTATATCACTTTCCCAAAGATTTTAGAGATTTGATTAGGTTAAAAAACCTCATCAGATATTACATCAAGTATCTTAAGTTAAATCTGAAAAGAAATATTCCATAAAAATTCAAGACAATAATCTTGAAATATGTTTTATTTTACTGCAATTTATCAGTAACACATTTGCAGAACTTATTTTTTTTTTAAGTTTACTTATTCTGTTTTCAGTCAAGTTACTTAAATTTTTACAGTAGCTCTTTATCTGAGCATAGGGAAATGTGGGTCAGGTTTAAAAGGAGGCAGCAGTATTTTCCATTAGCATCTCATTAAAATACTCTTTCCAAAAGCAGTACTTTAATGATAATGGGAATCAAGTACCTTGGATTACTATTAAATTTTAAAATAATTGTTAGAGATTTCTTTCTGTGGATATTGTTAATATTTTAAATTTACTAAAAAATTGAAAACAGAGATATCAGTATATTATGAAAGTCATGCATAAAGATTTTAATGTTATTTGACCTTCATATGAAGATTAAATATTCATGTAAAATTTCATCTGATAACTTTAATTTCAAGTAATAATCTCACTATACTCTACATTGAAAAAATAAGAGAACAAAAAAAAAGAAAGGAAAAGTAACTCTTTTATGTAACTCTCAGTATGTTCTCCATAAATATGAAACAAAAATACTTATTCTGCCTTATATTTAGCATTGAAAATGAGGAAAAAGGATGAAGAATTGTATATTCAAGTGTATACCAAAATGTAGAAAGCTGTGAAATTTAAATGTCTGGAGAATGGAAAATTTCTTCCAGTTGGGAAAGGGGGAAGCATGACTACAACTAGAATGGTCAAATTCCTAGGTTAGCCAAATGTCTATACAATGAAGCCACCACGGGCATGTACGATATATGCCTATGTGTTGTCGGTGGTAGGGACTGTACAGTTCATGCCTCCCATTGAGATTACAGAGGAAACTAGTACTCAGGCCCAGCCAATTGTTTACATTTGAAAATGCATATTCAATGTAGAGAGAATCTCTGAATTTCTAAGGTAATTCAGGTATCTTAATTAGACATAATCCCCGAATTATTAAATGTTACTTAAAAATTAGATTCAATTTTTTTTTTTTTAAAAGGACTCAATGGGAAGTCAGTTAAAAACCTCTGCATAGGAATGCATTTTGGAAAAAAAATGAAGAGAGTATATGTTTATCTCTCCTTCTTTATTAATGATTTGTGATAGGGAGTGGTTGAGAAAATCAGTTTGCATGAAGTAGTATGAGTTTATATGAGTTTGGAATAGAAATCTTTCCACTTGTATGAAGAATTATCTTACCATCTTCCTACATCAACTGTAGAAGGTCAAGACTTGAAAACTGAGCTTTGATATCTTGGAGGTAATAGTAAAACGTCATGAGTATGAAAAATGCTGCACATGGAGTGAAGAGCTATTAACAGTTACAAAAACAATACCATGTTTTGAAAGAAGTCTAAAAACTCTGTGATTGTATTGCAATTTTACTGCAACTATTTATTATAAAATTAATTTTCATTAAAATATTGTTGTATTTTTTAAAATTTGATGTTTCTAAAACATGGACCACATTTTCATATGGGAATTTACTATTTTGTGCCTATATTTTACCTCTCAACAGAACAACATAAGTTTATTACAAAAGAAAGACAATTTTTATTCAACTGCTCTACAAAAGATTATTTGAATAGGTGAATAATTATATAATTATTTCTTCGGAATCTTAATTTTCAAGTAAAAATTTTAAGTGAAGTCACTAAGGTTTCACACAAATGTTTTGATGAGCATTAATGGAGAAACAGGGAAGTGTGAGTAGACGCCCACATTCATACTGCCATTCCAACATGTTCAGTTTGGAAACCACTGGGATGTTTGTTTTTAGTTTGCATCTTATCTCTAGTTTTGTAATTTGTAAATTTTTCCTTTTAATTATAATCTACATATTTTCCCATTTTTTGAGCATACTTGTTTTTAAAGGAGTATTCAGAGAACAGAAACAACTCTTGGGGAAAAAAACATAATTTACTTAAAATTCAATAGAAGAATTGAAAAATGAAATTCTTTCCTCCACAGGAAGCAGCAAAATAAATAAGTTTTGGGTGGTAGAAAAGATAGTTCCTTGCTGGAAGTCAATAAATGATACTAAAATTGCAAAACCAAAAAAGCGCCATTATGAGACATCATTTAGTATTATTTAGCTAAACAGTAGTATTATTTAGCTAATAATCTGATAAAAATTTTGTGATAGTTTCTTCTGGGAGGTGGAAATAAATCAGGTAGTGCGTGTGTGTGTGTGTGTGTGTGTGTGTGTGTTCTTAAGAGTCCATGTAGAAATTATTTAACTGAGAAACATTGTATTATATTTTTTGAGACAGAGTCTTGCTATGTTGCCCAGGCTGATCTCAAACTTCTGGATTCAAATAATTCTCCCACTGCAGCCTCCCAGGTAGTGGCGATTACAGGCCTGTGCTACTGCACCTGGCAAATTCAGGAACATTCTTAAACTAGACCCACAGAAATAAACACAAACAAACACTATTCTGAATTGTACAGAAGGCAGCAAAAAACAAACTTGCCATCATGGATCTTACATTCTAGGGAAAAAAGACAAATCATATATATACACATATATATATACAAAATCATATATACATACATATAAATCATATATATACACATATATTTACATATATATATATATATATATGTAAAATACATTGTATTTTAGTGAAGGTAAGTAGAAAGAATGAAACAAAGCCGAGGTGGAGGAAAGATATAGGCCAAGACTACAGTCAAGAAGTTTGTGATTTTCTGCAGTAGTTTCTAGCATTATCAGAACTGCCCCTCATATATTGTTTATTTCTATCTGTATGTATATTTCTGGGCTACTAATGTGATCTTTACCTGGTGTGTATTTCCTTTGTATAATTGCTTTTGTTTCTTCAAGTAGGGCTTACTCAGTGCTTTGGACATGTGTTCCTTTTCCATTTTTAATACTTCATGGAATAATAGTTTTAATTTCTGCAGCTAAATATGTACTATTTCCCATATTTACCCATTCAGATTTTTAAGGCCATTATTCAAAATGTCCCTGCTGGTCATCCTTTTGGCAAAGTTTAAACCAGGCCTATTCAAGCTGTCGGAGAAGGGGTGGGCATGACAACATGATATTCATGTAGAGTTCCAGATAAAAATGTGTTGAAAGCAGAAAATCTTAGGTTTGGGGTATAACCCATGCCTTCATCGAAGGATAAATTTATATATTTATCTGTATCTGGGTTCTGATTTTTGTCATTTAAAAAGTAAAACCATTTTTAAATATAATCTCTGTATTACCACTTATTAATTTTTTAAATTAAAATTGATTTCCTCTACTCTTGCTCTTTGTTTTTTTTTTCCAATTTCTCTCTCTGTTTCTCTTTCATCAATCTATTATTTCTTTTTTGCTTTTTGATCATTTTTATTTGATGAATTTTATCTTAAAAAGGCATAATGCTACAAAATTACTTGTCAGATTACTGAACACAGCATTCCTCCAAATTCTTAGTACTCTCTCACTTAGTAAGTGCTCATGGTATGTTATAAAATGAATATTCTAGAATCTGGGATAGATAGAGAAAGATTTTTTATTTTTGTTTTTGAGAAAGCTTTTATGAAAGCAGTCTATCCTAATTACTTAACAATTGTTGATAAATCTTATTATTTCACCCCATTTTTGTGGTTATAATAATCTTTTTCTTTAAAACAAGGTTCAATAACAATCAACTAGCAAGAGTGTGGACTTTGTCTTGCCAGGGTAAATCATGGTGAGTTCATCATAAATGCTACCAGTTTTCCCCTCAATTTTTCCAGAAAGTATTTCAACTACTTTAAATGTATTTTATGAAAACATATTTTTATAGCTACATTGTGTTAGAAATGAACCAATTTTATGTAAATGAACATTCTGCATTCTGCAGATAAAACATGCTAATTTTAACAATTTCAGACATCTGTGACAGAATTTCTAAACTACCCGACTGGATTAAGCTGACAAATGTGAAAAAGTAATAAATGGTTAGTCACCTTTTAATTCTTATATTTACATTAAACTACCACTTCAAAGGGCAAGGATAATTTTACACTTTTAAAGTTTTAAATAGCTTTTATTTCAACTTAAACAAAATACACCAATATTGAAACACAGTTTTTTTTTATGATTTCTATTTTAAAATATATTGAAGAATATAACTTTGTCCTCCCAAATAACTAGCACTCATACAGCTCTGTGCATATTATTATCTCATAACTCTTTATTTCAAAAATTTTCTATGTTGAAAATGTGTAAACGTAGGAGCAGATTTGCAATACTATGCATATAAGCTGGCCCCTAAAAATTGTTCTTATTGTACAATGCGTGTTTGCATAAAACACACATACTTGAATGGCTAATTATAATGTATGCTCAAGTAATAGAATAATAAGAATATTCATATTGATATCACCTATTATGTGCCAGGCTTTTTTCTAAACATTTTGCATACAGGAACTTATTTAATCTTTGACACCACTTAATAAGTTAGGTTCTATTAATATCACACTCATTTTACAGACTAGAAAACTGAGGAACAAAGCTTATATAACTTTACCAACGTCATCAACAGCACACATGCCATTCAAAAGCAGACAGTTAGCTTCAAATCTTATGGTTCAGATGGTATGGAAACACTGAAAGAAGTGGTAAAAAGTTTTACATTTTAGTTCAGATCTTACAGTGTATTGCATATTTAAATACTAGAATTATAAATGCTTCGAGTAATTTCTTTTACAAGTGACATTCCAAGTATCATTATGTACATGCTTTAGGAGAAAATTGTTTCCCTTTAAGAACAACTCTTAAGTTGTATAGTGAAAGTCAATGCCAAAATAGATTGAAAATATTTGCCTTTGCTATCACATGGGGTGATTTGTGCCAATTGGTATGCTGAAGCTTAAAAGGAGATTGAGTTCTATCTACAGAAGTTATATTTCATTAAGTGCAAAATTCTTTCCTTTTCCTCAAAGAATTACCAATATATATCTTAAACCAATGACTAATTTTCCCTTTACAAACTCGTGCACACATGGTTGCTTGAATAACAACTACATTTCAGACTTTCTAGTTAGTGTTGCAAGAGTGAAGAGTTGTAGCATGCTGCTTCCTTACCCCCAGAGTGACCCTGGAGAAACTGTAGAATTGGCAGGGAAGGTGGCATAGATTTTAGGAAGCGAACATGTAGTCTGTGAGTATCTGACAGCTAAAGGCTGTAGTATCCTGTAGACAGTCATGCCATCAAACAATAGCTGATTTAGGGAAGTCCAGGATTTTAAGAGCCAAATAAATACTTGGTATCTTTGAATAACCCCTGGCGGAAGTAATTATATCATGGAAATTAGGAAACACTACAATGCAGGACTATGTCTTCTTCTCCTTTTCCTTCTTCTCCTTCTCCTCCTCTTCCTCCTTCTCCTTCTTTTTCCTCCTCCTCCTCTTCTTCTGCTTCTGCTTCTTCTTCATTATTATTATTATTATTTGAGAGCCCATTGTTAAATATTTTCTAGCACTTTACTGACTAGAGAACTATCTGAAGCTTCAGGATGAAGATAGGTGGGTGTCAATTATTTCTAGCCAAAGACCACCAAGAGCACACCCACAGTTATACAGGTTGGAAAACCTCAGCAAGAGCCAACACACACTATGGAGGACTGAGGGCTTCTCAGCACACGGTGTTAAAATGTAGTTAGTATAAGATTTGAGTTTGTGTTAGATGATGTAGGGCAGAGTGTAAGGAAGAGTGTGTTGCTCTGGATTGCACATTTTAAAGGAGTGGAGGTTATTATGTGATTGGATACTTTAATATATCATATCTAGAAGGAGAGAAAACTTGGGGCTAAAGCTAAATTTAGTAAAGCAGTAGCAGTCTCAGAGGTGTCTGAGAGAGGAGAATGTTCAGTGTTCTGTGATCTGGACATGTTCTTGTTTTGTCTGTGTTCACCCATAATTATGGAGTGATCTTGTTTTTACCTTGATTCATCATAGTCAAGAGTGACCTTATTTGATGTTAATGTTCTATGAAATTATTTATATCAACTGGAGAAGAGCAAGGCCTGATAGTTTCAGGTCAGCTGTAGGATGACAGAGGCAGCATTACTCTTTCACACAGGAGTAAACTGCCTAAGTCTTGTTCCAGGCTTTCCCCTGTCCCTTGGGAAAATACTTTTCTGCCTTCTCATCACAAAAGTTTAGTAGCAGCAGTACTAGTCTTTGTTCCAAAGTGGAAATGATATTAGGTCTGCACAAAAGTCCTCCTGCAATGTGTAGGGACAGTCTGCAAGCTTTTGCTCTCCCAGACCCAGTGACTGATTAAAACTTACAGAGGCTGCCTCTTGAAAGGCAGCTGCTACTTCTTAAGAGTTTAAAAGAAAAATTTTGTTTAGAAAAATTTCTTGCTTGAGAGCCAGGAAGAATGGGAATGATAAACAATATTTCCTCCTCAACCACTGAATTAATCTGTGGAGACAGTGAATCGAATTAAGGAGGTAACAGGAACGCCATGGGAACAAATCCAAATTAACCCAACCACAGAGGAATATGACTACTGCAAAAAAAAGGTGACAAACTAAGTGACCAATTTATTCATCCAACAAATATTCATTTAGTTTGTGCTACATTCCAGAAACTCTTTTAGGTGCCAAGGAATACATAACTCAAATATATTAGCTTTAAACAAAAAGGCAAATATTTATATTCTTCCAGAGCATACATTTTATTAGGGGGAGGAAAACCATACATGTAAAATACATACATTTATTTGAGGAGATGGTAGTACTATGGAAAAGTAAAACAGGGTGATATAGCTTGGTTATTTGTTCCTCCGTAATCTCATGTTAAAATTTAATTTCCAATGTTGAAGGTGGGGCCTTGTGGGAAATGCTGTTCTCTTGATAGTGAGTTCTTATGAGACCTGGTTGTTTAAAAGTGTATGGTACCCATTCCCCACTCTCTTGCTCCCACTTTTACCCTGTGATGTGCTTGCTCCCCCTTCACCTTCTGCCATGAATAATGCTCCCTGAAGCCTCCCCAGAAGCTGAGCCAATGCCAGTGCCATGCTTGTACAGCCTGCAGAACTGTTAGCCAATTAAACCTCTTTTTGTTATAAATTGTCCAGTCTTAGGTATTTCTTTATAGCAATGCAAGAATAGCGTGATTCAGAAAATTGTTACCAGGAGGAGGGTGGCTGCTTAAATAACTTAACATTGGAACTTATTCTTAAAAGAGAAGTGGAGCATAAAAGTTTGGAAAATTTTCAGGCTTGCCATGTGGCAGAGAAAGAAAAAGCATTATTAGAGAGGAATTTAAGTGGGCTACAGAGCAATCACTTGTTAGAAAGATTTGTATGACTGAAAATGAGTCAGGTACTCATAGTCAAGATAATGGGAAAGAGGCTTTGAAGGCATTTTAGAGATCTTCGAGGCAGCCTTCCAAAACAGACCCAGAGACCTAGGAGGAGAATGGTTTCAGGGGCCAGGCCTCGAGCTCCATAGCCCCCCTGCCACCTAGAGAGGCTGATCCCTGCATCCCTGCTGCTCCAGCTATGGCCATGGCTCAAAAGGCCTCAGGAACAGCTCAGGCTGCTCCTCTGGAGGGTGCAAGCCACTGTAAGCCTTGGGGTTTTCCACAAGGTGTTAAGCCTTGTGGCACACAGAGTGCCAGAATGAAGGAGACTTGGTAGCCTCCACCTAGATTTCAGAGGATGCATAAGAAAGCATAGGTGCCCAGGCAGAAGCATGCTGCAGGGGCAGAGCCCTCACAGAGAACCTCTAGGGCAGGGCAGAGGAGAAATGTGGGGTTGAAGGTCCTATGCAGAGTCCCCACAGAAGCACGCCCTAGTGGTGCTGTGGGATGGGGGCCACTGCCCTCCAGACCCAGAATGGTAGAAGCATCAGCAATCTGTATCCTGGCCCTGGAAAAGGCACCCAGGCAAAGCTGCCCCATGCCTTGGAGCCCATCCTTTGTGGTAATGTGCCCTGGAAGTGGGATTTGGAGTCAAAGGAGATTATTTTGGAGCTTTAAGATATAATGACTTCTCAGCTGGCTTTTAGGCTTGCATGGGGCCTGTAGCCTCCTTCTTTTGGCTGATTTCTTCCTTTTGGAATGAAAATGTTTACCCAATGACTCTACCTCCATTGTGGAAGTAAATAATTTGTTTTGATTTTATAGGTGGAAGAAACTCATTTCCAGATGAAACTTTGAATGTGGGACTTTTGAGTGATTTGATGACAGAATTAGTTAAGACTTTGGAGGACTGTTGGGGAGGCATGATTGTATTTTGCAATGTGAAAACGACATGATACTTGGGAGACCAGGGGCAGAATGATATAGTTTGGGTATTTGCCATCCCTAATTCCATGTTGAAATATAATCCCCAGGAGGTGGGGCCTGGTGGGAGGTGTTTGGGTCATGGGGGCAAATCCCTGATAGCTTGGTGCTGTCCTCTTGATAGTGAGCTCTCATGAGGTCTGGTTGTTTAAAAGTGAGTGGCACCTCCCACCACTCTCTCGCTCAACTCTCACCATGTGACATGCATGATCCACCTTCTCCTTCTGCCATGAGTAAAAGCTCCCTGATGCCTCCTCAGAAGCTGAGCAAATGCTGGCACCATGCTTGTACAGCCTGCAGAACCGTTAGTCAATTACACCTCTTTTCTTTATTAATTACCCAGCCTTGGGTATTTCTTTATAGCAATTCAACAACAGCCTGAAACATAGGGTAAGAAATGTTAGGAGGGTGGAGTTGCAATTTTAAGTAAAGTGGTCATTTTATGTCACACTCTGAGGGAGACTTTTGAGTAAAAATTTAAATGAAGTGGGTATATAAGCAATACAATTATATGGATTAAAATGATTTGATGCATTAGAGAAAGTCAGTGCAAGTGCTGAGGACAAAGTCTGTCTGCCTTCCTTGGTACTATGTTCATTTCCCAGGGAGGGCTGCTATAACAATGATTAAAACAAAAGAAATCTCTATTCTTTTGTAGTTCTGGAGTGCAGAAATTTGAAATTAGGTGACAGCAAGAGGGATCTTTCTCCCCAGGTTGCAAGGAGATATTGTCTTTATTGCCTCTTATAGATTCTGGCTATTCTAGCATTTTCTTGTCTTAAGACTGCATTACTCCAGTCTCTGCCTTTATCTTCGTATAACTGTTCTATCTTTTATAAGAACATTTGTTATTGGACTTTGGGTCCACCAAGATAATCCAAGATGGTCTCATCTTGAGAGCCTTAGCTACATCTGTGAAGATACTTTGTCTAAATAAGGTCACATTCCCAGTTTCCAGGACTTGGATATATCTTTTTTGGAGGCAACATTTTAACCCACTACAGGGAGCAATTCTTGGTCAGTAGGGATAGACTGATGTAAGCAATGAGAAGGATAGTAGAAAATGAGTTCACAGAAATACAGAGGTTTGCAAGGCCTCATAGGCAGTTGTGAGAGTTTGGGGGTTTTCTCTGAGATAAATAGGAAATTGTTTAATTTGAGGACTAAATCAGCCTGATTATATTTTTCTTAGCCTCCCTTAAACAATTACATTGGGGAAAATATTGATGGGATATATGGTAAAAACAGGCATAAGTTCAGAGGCTACTATAGTTATCTTGGTGAGAGATGATGTCTTGATTCAGAGAAAGTAACAGAAAGATTAGAAAATGGTTAGATTCTGAATTTATTTTAAATATCTGACCTAATTTTTTGAAAAAAAAAAGACAAAAATGTCAAGGATGACTACAGCATTATATTTGTAAGAAAATAGAAAGTTGGCATTAACAATATTAGAAATGAAGGATGATTGGTGGAGCAAATTCCTTTGAGAAGGGGTGGAGTTAAAGAGGATTCAATTAAACAAGAATTTAAAATTAGCACAATACATTTGATTATAGAGCTTGAGGTATTAATAATTTGGAGAAAAACACAAAATAATTTCAAAAGAACCAAAACAAAATATTTGGTATGCAAAATATACTTGAAATAAATAATGGGGAAAATGGATGGAATAAATTACTGAATGGACATAGCTGAAGAACAGATTACTCAATGGAAGAAAAGATCAAGCAACTCACCAAAATATCCAAAGGAACGAAAAGAGAAGTAGTAAATAGAAAAGTAAAGTTTAGAGGTTTAAAAACTAAGAATCATATAATAAGCCTTTTGATAACATACCATAGAAAGAAAAAAAATTATTTAAAGGAAAAGGAAGACAAAAACAAAAAATAAAAGCCTCAGTTTGAAAGACCTCAGAGAAAGCTCAGTGGGAGGAATATGTGAAATCCGAACTAGATCCATTATACTGAAACCTAAGAACAACAAAAACAAGGAATGTATTTCTTAAAATAAAGCAAACTTTTAAAAACAAAACTAAACTCCCTTGGAGCAAAAGCATATCATCTGCAAAGTTTAAAGAATCAAATTAGTATTAGACTGCTTAACAGCATCACTAGATACATGCAGAAATATGATTTTTTATTTATGTAGATTAAAATGAAATTTTGAAATAAAAAGAAAAGAAAATAGATGTCTAAATGGAATAGTACAAATTCTTTAGAGGACATCCTTCCAGATTAACTGATTTCAGACTTGTATTGCCTTAAAGCTAATTTATAACTCTGCAAATTGTAGATAAGTGAAACTGATGCAAAATAAGTCTTGTCTATGAACATCCAAATGAATTCTGTCCAGTGGGGATTCAATGGACTTTCTTCTCTTCCTTTCCCTCACTACTGTTTTTTAAAAGCTACTTTTGAATACATTGGCAAATTCACTTCAACATTTTAAAACTCAAAATAAGTTTGTTTCTTTCAAATCTTTTTTGAACTGGTTGTAAGTTCTCCCTTGCTCCCTCATTAATGCTGAGTTAAATATCTAACAAGAGTTCATCTAATATCTCTAGGTCAGTTATAATTTTTTTTGAAAAGAATTCTTTAACAATTTTGGAAGTCTTCCACTGAGACTCACAGTGGATTGATTCACCTGACAGAGTTAGATGAATGGACATTGTTGCTAGGGAACTGCTCTCTCTATGGGCTGTTGGAGCCCAGGCACATCTTTTCTTGACTCCCTGAGGTGAATCCAAATAGCAGTCGAATTTTGTTGACTCTCTGTTTTTCCAATTTCAGTTTTCTTTTCTATGTATTTTTTTAATCACTAATAAGTGATAGCAATTATTAGGAATGTGGAGCTATGGCCAAGCCATTTTATGATCTCTGTAAAAGGACTAATGATTTATAGAGATCTATTACCTGGTAGATGAGAAGTATTAGAGAATCTGGCTTAACAACCTTTTTGTTTGTTTATTTGTCACTTTGGGCTCAAATTCTGTAGAAAATTTTGATCACTAGTAAGGAGAACATCGCTTTCTTATCTTAATCAGTGAGCTTTTGTGGTTTTGTGCTTACTATTGGCTCAAGGCTGAAATTATCAAATTGAAGCTATAAGTTATCTTTATGCCAGTATGTCTATCTGTAATTCACAAAGGTCTTTACCTGTAAGTATGAAATATTTTTGTACCTCTAGAGAATATTTTGAAATTAGTGTATTTAGTCTCTTAAAGTAAGTTCTAATGGATTTATAGAGAAAAATAAGCACTTAACAAATATTCAATTTTTAAAATTTACAGGTAATAATAAAATTGAACTTGTAATAATTTAAATATTCTGTAATCAAAAGATAAAAATAATATTTTATATAAACTAACCCAGAAACTTTAAAAAATCCAAGGGAATGTAAATTAGGTAAAACCTTGGTCAGAAAAAAAAATTACTTATTATGGTTTAATAAAAATAGTTGTGCCTTCACTTATTTGCATGTGGAAGTAGAATGGTAGAATGGCTTGTTATTCTACTTGGGTATGATTTTTTTCCAAATTTATACACATTTACTGATCAAAGAGGTAACATTACTCATGTGATGTTTAAGACTACAAAAAATGTAAATGTATGTTTAAAAAAATGGATTTTTATCAACTTAACAGTAATTAGGTTTTATAGTGGGTTTGGAAGAAAATTTTCAAGATCTTTACATGACTTAAAATCTTAGAATGAGTTAATTTAGTTAGGTATTGGATAATCAGTGGCTATCCATATAATTCCAAACTAAGAACCAAACATTGACTCTTTGTCATAATTTTAAGTTTACATTTTTTATTTTTATTTTTATATGTTACAAAAATGCTATGGCTTTGTTCCATGTTAATTAAAAAATTTATGTTTTGCCACTTTGAAAAGTTTTAAAAGGGGCGTTTCCTTCTATAGAATGTTATGTGTATTTGGAACTCATATGTATCTGCTAAAATGTTGGTGCATGACAAACACCTCTCAATTATTTGTCCTCCTCTCCCGTACCTTCCTCCGTTCTCTCTGTGAAATAAAAGTTAGTTACTTTGATTAAGAGTTATAGTTAATATAAGTGGTTGATACTATACTAGGAGCAACAGTGACAGAGAAAAATATACTATGTTCTCTAGAGGTACTAAAAATAATTAAGTTTTATTTGATATGTTATTATTTATGAGTAACATGAACATTGTTTTAAAATTAGAAGGGATGCTTAGCCTTTCCTAGGTTACATTTGTGTGGGTAAAATACTACTAATAGAAGTATTTTAAAAATTATCTGTTTTATAGGAATGTGGGGAAATAAAAATTCCCTGTGTTTCTCAGTGCTCTTGCAAATGCCCTAGCCTCCTGAAACATGGATATGTACATGATACAAAGCTAGAGAATGTTGGCTTTCACTTCCTCAGAAGTATTTTGATTTTCATATACGAGGAATTAGATCTGCAAGCATTTATCTAGTTAATTGCTCTAATATGAAAGTATATTCAACTTCCATTATGTCCCCTAGATAACCAAATGGTGACAGCTTAGACTAGATCCCTGTGTTAAATGCTAAGTGCCAGAAGCACTGAAACACATCAAAAGGAATGAAGCCAATAATTGGGAGACAGTTCTAGCTTCTTATAACTGGAGACATCCAGGGATCATCTGGCTCTTATAAAGACTTATTTATTTTTGTAAAAAGATTAGGGTGAAAATCGTTTCTTAGGCTCAAAACATTAAAATTATTATTTTCTTTTTTTTCATTTTGGGGGACTAAAAGGGGACAGCTATCACTTCAGTATAAAAACAGAAAAAATCTTCTGTTCTTTTCCTTCATCGTCAGGATGTAATACTCCCATCACATCACTTCTGGACTGAGGAATGATGCTGTAATATTACTTTGGCTATTGATCTGGTTGTATGAATAAAGAACTCCTTTCCCTGACCATAACTGCATGTGGTATAACATATCACAGTCTTCACCACTCTTGACAAAACAAAATTTTCTAGAAATGTCCTGGTGTTCGTAATCCTTCTGTTTAGCTTGGTTCTGGTGGTGGTTTGTAGATTATTAAACAATGCTACCAGATATAACATCAGTTATTATTTAAAATGTTTACTTGACTTCAACCTTACTTCTCTAATTTAAATTTAGCATCTTCTAAATCAGTTTGTTAAAATTAGGGAATACATATCCAGTTTATCTATAAAGTTTTATAAAAATACAGATGTTTGGGTTCTACTCCAGACTTAGTGAATCACTTTATTTGAATATTCCAATAGTCTTTGTATTTTCTTGGTTTGTTTTTTGTATATTTTTTGGTGTGATCTTAGCATATTATACATGTGGTGTCTCAGGATTATTTTGTTGTATATGAAAAAGTTTTTTTCTCTATAAAAATTTTGTTTATCAATTTTAACTAATCAGTTGTAACATTCACAAACTTATTTCGAAATAGGCTTCATCCTTGTCCTTAATGACATCTTGTTTAATTTTTTCAGATATGGCTATTTTTTTCTTATTTTGCGTACTACAGAAATACCCATTTCCTCATCAGCTCTGTAATTCTTATTATAAACCCTCACCATATCTTTCACACTTGAGAATTTTAGTAATAAATTAACCATGACCGTGTTAAGTATCTGTCATTTACATGCAGATTTTGGTTTACTGTGATGCTTGCCTAAAGGCCCTGCAATAACCTACAGGCCATAGTTCCTTTCTTCATTAAATAAAGACTATCAGCCGGGTGAGGTGGCTTATGCCTGTAATCCCAGCACTCTGGGAGGCCGAAGCAGGTGGATCACTGGAGGTCAGCAGTTCGAGACCAGCCTGGCCAACATGGTGAATCCCCATCTCTACTAAAATACAAAAATTAGCTTGGCGTGGTGGTGCATGCCTGTAGTCCCAGCTACTCTAGAGGCTGAGGTGGGAGAATCACTTGAGCCTGGGAGGCGGAGGTTGCAGTGAGCTGAGATCAGGCCACTGCACTCCAGCCTAGGTGACAGAGCGAGACTCCCTCTCAAAAAAAAAAAAAAAAAAAAAAAAAGACTGTCTTAGAGCCTTGTGAGTAAGGCTCTGGTAAGTATTTTAAACCACAGATATGTCAAAAACATATTTTTGGCTACAGGCTTCTGATGTCATTGCTTAGACAACATTCGGTCCATACCACTGGCTGTCAGGATATCCAAAAACCTTTTTAGAGTTAATGCTAATCCAAGATACGGGAGAACAAGAATTAATTACATGAAACCTAACGAACTGAGGAAGGAAATGTAATTATATAATTTGGAATTGTGTTGACATTGTTTTAATGTTCTATTTTGTGAATATATAAAGATGTCATTTTTCTGTCTTCTTTATCTCTAACAGATAACTATTTAGTAGACTTCTTTTGAAAACTGAAATGAAACATTTCAAAATTATATCTGATTCTCATGACACCCTACTATCCACAATTCAGAAAATTTCTATTGAATTTTGTTATTTTTTTATGGCAATGGTTGTTCAATAATCATAGTTATTGAACTGTTCAATAGTAATCCATTATCCTTTTTACTAGGATAAATGGGAAAGATAAGGCAATTAAAACTTTGTTCAGAACATCATGTTTGACAATAATGATTATTTTACAAAGATGATAAACCCTTTCTAGAAAACTAAGGTGGACTTTATAGAATCTAAGCTCACTGAGCTGCATCAAAAACAGTGGCCCACTACCTGGCATACAGGGTTCTCAGCTTCACAGCTGATAAGAAAGATCACTTTCTGGTAGGTCAAAGATCATTAAGACATTGTAGAGACTTTGAAGAAGAGGTATTCATACACATCATAAACACTGAAGGTAAAATCTGGGGAAGGATTTATTGAATTTTGCTTCTTATTCTTCCAGTAGAAAACAATTGTACTTTATAAAAGTCCTATCTGATATTCCTTATGAAAATTTTCAGTATAGCAAACATAGAAGGCACATTAAAAATTAATGGTTTTTGTATATCTAGATAAATAACCAGGCTGTGATGGTCTGAATGCTTGTCTTCCCAAGAATTCCTATGTTGAAATTGTAACCCCCAAAGTGATGATATTAGAAGTTGGAGACTTAAGGTGAATAGGTCAAGGGGGCAGAGCTCTTTCAATTGGGATTAGTGCCCTTTATGAGAGGCACCAGTGAGCTGCCTTGCCCCTTCCTCCATGTGAGGACACAGTGAGAAAGCACCATTTATAAACAGGGAAATAGGCCCACACCAGGTGCCAAATCAGCCAGCACCCTGATCTTGGACTTTCCAGGCTCCAAAGCTGTGAGAAAGAGATTTCTGTGGTTTATAAGGTACATAGTTTATGGTATTTTGCTATAGCACTTTGAATAGACTAAGACACAGAACATACATAATAAAAACCTCATTATTTTGTAATAAGAAATAATATTTCTTTGAAGTTACTTTGATAAAAAGGACAAAATATGCTAAGTAAAGTTGGAATAAAAGAGATTATGGAGTATCTCAAATGAAAAACTATGTATTGATAGGTCTTAGCCTTTTGGGTTAGCTAATTATTTAGCTGCTTTTGAGCAATTTTGCAATTCTAGTGAGTTGTAGATTACTGATAACAATACAAAATAATTCTTGTTTATGCAAATGCAAATAAATTTTGTCCAGTGGAGCTTCAATTGACACCCCTCTCCCCACAGAAAGAAAGCCAATTTTGCATCCATGTACAAATTTATTTCAACATTCTTTTACTACTACAAATAAAAGTATGCTTCTTTGATTTTTCCTTTGATCTTGTTGTAACATCTTCCTGGCTCTCTAATTAATACTGAGTTAAATTTTTAACTCGTACATTTTTTGAACATTATCATTATTTTGATGTTATTGCTTAGACAACATTCAGACTATATCACTCAGTGTTGGGATATCCTGAAATCTGGATACATAAATCATAAGATATAGATTCCTTATCTCTCTCTTTCTGTTTAAGCACACACACACACACACACACACACACACACACACACATATTCAATTCTTGACCATGTGAGGCCTCAGAAATTCTGCTATAAAAAACATTCTTATTAAAACTACTCTTGGAAGAAGTATTCAAATAAGAAAGGAAGCAAATCCAGGAAAATACTGAAGTAATATAGGAGTTAACAAATATATTGGCTTAACAATATATAACAATATATAAGGCTTAACAAACATATTGATAATATTCAGTTATCTGAACAGCCAAATAAATAAAAACCTGCCTCTGCCCTAAAAATCTAGATATAAAGAAAAGGAAAGCAAGTATTATTAGTTGTCTTTATTATATATTAGAATCAAGGGCATATTGTTTAGCTATGTCAATAAAAACAAGTAGCAGTAGGCTTTTATAGGCTGATCTTTAAAATAATTTTCTTCAGCAAATACATTCTGTCAAAGAATTTATGATTTAAATTTAAAAATAAAATTTATTTGTAACGGGGTTAAAACTTTATTTAAAAATTTAATGTAAGGCAATAATCGCAAAACATGAGAAATGTGTTCTTTAATTTCAGTGGCTGATATGCAAGTTAATGAATCATTTATTTGTTTCTTACAAGGCAAAGCTAAACATGTAAGAATAAAGGTTTTCAGAAAGTAGACTTGAAAACAATTCATGCATTCTTGAGAAAATTTTAATCTGTTTTTAATTTGTAACCTTGTGATGATTAAATACAGTCAATCCATAGAAGCATTTTCTGTTTTAAAAATCTTTAAAAACTTGTCTCAATTTTTGTGTTGCAGATTGCAACATAGAACTTAGTTCTTTACTCCTTCCTGTATCCAAGGCTTCCATGTAATTTTACAGTTTCTTTCACTGAAGAGACAGAATTCTATGTCTCTGCCCTTGTTTCTAAGTTTGATCATATGGCTAGCCTTAGCTAATGAGATATTATTAGGTGTGATGCATCAAGTAGCTTTCAAAAGATCTACTGCATTTTAAACACTCTTGCTTGTGTGCCTTATCCACAAGATTTTGCCTAAACTAGCCTGATGGAGGCATAAGGAGCAGAGTCATCCCAGGCTACAACATCCTAGATCAGCTGATCTGCAGCCAATCCCCCAATATATGTGAGATCAGAAGACTGTCCAATCAAGTCCACCGTAATTTGTGAACATGCAGACACTTGAGTTAAATTCATGTGTATTGTTCTAAGCCACTAAGTTTTAGGTTGGCTTTTACAGAGTATTAAAGGATTTGCATTAATGTAAAGGGTTAATGTAGCAGGACTTGATTGTTCAAACCTTGTGCATTCCAAAGAAAGTTTTGGCCCTTGACCTCCTCCTGGGAGATAGCCTCTAAACCATTGGAATATCCTGCCTGATCCTATCTTTGTTCACCTGGGGCCTTGGGCCATGCCAGATAGTTTACGCTAACATGTGATTTATGGTGGGGGGGATTGGCGTACACAGTACCAATTTGACCTCTGGAGGGGCTGGAGACTAAGTTACTAAGAATAGCCGTTGCAAGATTTTCATGCCTACATGTCTAACACCCAATAAAAACTCTGGACACAAGCCTTCCATGGTTGGCAGTAATTAATATGTATTGTTGCTTAGCATTACTGGGAGAAGTTAAGGCCTATCTTAATTTCAATGGGAGGGGAAAACTGAAAACTTGTGTTTTTTTTCTCCTGAATTCTGCCCTATATTTCTATTTCATTAGCTGATTTTAATCTTTATCTTTCTGCTATAATAAATTATATCCATGAGTATAACTGCTTTTCTTTGTTCTATGAGTTTTTCTAGTGAAATATTGAAACTGAGGGTGGTCATTTGGGACCCCAGACAACACATAGCATATGATGGCAATAGACAGCTTGTGCCATGTATAAACTTGCCCACTAACACAGTAGCAATTTGTTTTGAACAGCATACAAATAGTACATGATTAGAAAAAAAAAAATCACTTATCAGATTATTTTATCAGGGTGGTTTGACCTTATACTGTACATGTTTTGGTTTCTTCTGTTCCTCCTCTAAGACCCTGACACAAATCTGTTCATCATTTTAGAACTGATGACATGTGGTATCTATGTGGCTGTTTTTGTCTATTTTTCTTTTTCTCACCTAAGGGTAAAGAATGTTTCCTTTTTAAGGGAGTTTCTTATTAAAGAAGATAGATACTGTGTTGTTTGGTGCATAGGTATTTGTAAATATTATGACTTTTTTTGTACATTGCGACATTTAGCATTAAAATTTTTGCATTTATCCCATCAAAAACTTTTTTACAATCCGAATGTTGCTATCCTTTTCCATAACAGGATCCAAATCTCACATTTTTATTGTTTGAATTTGTTTTTATACTTTTGGGCATCCATTTATTTTTCACTCTTCGTTAAATTTCATTTTTTAATCATCTATCATCTGGCAAAGAAATATTTAAATATATGGTTTTTCTCTTTATCAATAAGTAAATCTAATATAGTATATTATAATCATATCTGTTTTGTTATTTCTGCAGATATAATCATCGTTTTTAAAAACAGAAATGTCTTAAAAAACAGAAAGATACTTTCTTTTTTTTTTTTTTTTTTTTAGTATTACTTCTAAATTTCTGGCTGTCTCATTCCTAAGAGAAGAAACAACAAATGCATAGCTCTGACACATCTCTTTTACTCTACAAAATCATTTAACCTATGAATAGATTGGTTCAAAGTTATCGCTCAATATATTTCCAGTGAAAGTATTTGGGGTTTTGCTCCTATCCTCCAGTCTGGCCTCATCATCCATTTTTTAAGATACTAGCATTTTCTTGTTTGAAAACCTGGATTGCCTTGCCTGAGGCAGTTGATTGGCAATGAACCACCCATTCTTCTCAATATTCACTCCATTTTCTCATTGCCTCGAGGCCTAGAACTAGAATCAGAGCCTATGTGACTGGAGGTAAAGTAAGAATTACAAGGTATGTCTGGAGAGAGTGAATAAAATAAATATGTTTCATGATCTTGAAGATATATTCTGCAGGGATATAGAAAAACAGTTATTTGGTGTAATAAAGCATAGTTTACGCTTTATAATTTTTTTTTTTTTTTTTGCTAGAATGAGTCAGTAGGCATCTGATTTGAATTATTACAATGGAAAGTGTAGGTGCTGCAAAAGTCTCCAGATTCCAAGGAGTTCAAAGGCCCAGAGCTCTTTGTAAGATAGCCTACTTTCAACTAAAGAAGAACCCAGGCTCTATAGTCATAAGTATATAATGTAAATCTTTCTTATAGACTTCCTTAAAGGGACTTGGCAAAGGAATACCAGTTAACTCTGCACTGGGGAAATACTCATGTTCTTGGGGGATTATTAGACACTGGCTCTGGGTTGACCCTGGGTGGCCCATAAGTATACAGCCCAGTGAACATTTGGTGATCCATGGAGTTTTACTTTAAAGTTCTTATGATAAGAGTGGCTTCATCAGATTCACACATTAACTCTGTGATTATCACCTAGTTCCTAGTTCAGGTCATGTACAACAATAATTATAATCCCCAGCACCCTGAGTATTTTTTTTTCTTGTTTTTGTTAGAAACAGACAATTTTAAAACCCTGGTCCTGAACTTTCCTTTCAAAAGAGTAAAGGCAAAGCAGTATTGTTTTTAATATGTGAGGATGATGATATCAACCATAGTCCTGATTAGCTGGAAATAGTAAGGATTATCTTAAACATTGTCAAACAGTAACTCTAGTTGCACCTGCTACTCCAGTTTTGGTTACTTCTTGGAGCAAA
This sequence comes from Homo sapiens, assembly GCF_000001405.40. Classification (NCBI taxonomy): domain Eukaryota; kingdom Metazoa; phylum Chordata; class Mammalia; order Primates; family Hominidae; genus Homo; species Homo sapiens. The sequence continues at coordinate 135,206,892 of NC_000004.12, forward strand.
TTATTATGTAGCTATTGATTTGGTGATTGAATTTTTTTCCATATAAATAAACAAGGACGTCCAGAAGTAGCTCATATTCATTGGGAGGAAAAGCAGTAGATCTTCATAATGTTAATTTAGGGTTATATCAACTATTCTACTTTCTGTCAAAATATGGTATACAGAGTTACTGACTGCCTATATATACTTTTAAATGTCACTCTTGTCTACTACATTAATGACATTATACTATTTTGATATGGTGAGAAGAAGGTGATATGAAGGCTAGATACTTTACTAAAACATGAATTTGCCCAAAGGTAAAAGGTGAAACCTCAAAATTTAAAACTTTTCTACAACACTAGAATTTCATCTAGTGTTCAAGGGCAGTACTTCTCAAAGCTAAACATGCATGCACACAAATCATTTAGGGATTTTCTTGCAAGGCATACTGTGATTTATTATGTCTGGGGAAGGGCTTGCTTTTTTACATTATTCACAAGCTACCAGGTAATACTGATGCATTTTTGAGGGAACCACACTTTAAAGAGGAAGGGGCTAAGGTTCTATATTTAAAAACAAGTTGCTGCATCTTGCATCACTTACCAATTAGAAAGAGGCACAATCAATGCTATGTAAGCTTATTTGGATTTTAGAAGGAAAATGTATACTATTTAGGTGGCCTTCAAACCATATGTCAAGTAACTTGTGTGGTTTATAATTTCCAAGGTTTCCTAAAACTAAAAAAGTTTAGTTTTAGTTGCAGCAGAATGAAGCTGCAATGCATGCTTTCCTGTCACTTAAGCCTTAGGCACAGCATCTTTAATGGTGTTCCAGGAATCTCTGGTGAGTACAAAGTAGGGACCTCTGGAAATGAATTCCCAAGAAGAGAATCATAGCACATACCATGGGAGTTTTCAAACTATGACTTCTTTTGTTGTTAAATTATCTTTAGAAAATTATTAATAGCTTAGGTATCATTCCTGGCCTCTGTAGAGACTTTACACTTTAATTGCAACTCCAAATAATATTTCATCAAAGCAGGCTCTTATGAAGTGTTTTCTTTCTTTTTCCACAAACTTGGGTATGAGTAGCAACTCTACATTATGAAATAGAAGTGAGATTTCACACAAGTAGGACTTAAGCAAGTTGTATGAGCAGATGACTGAGACTCTTACAACACCTACTACAGGTACGTAGCTGCTCTTGCCTTTACCAGGTTTAGAACCTCACTAAGAGTTCATTATGAACAGTTCAAAGGGGAACAGAATATTTCACGCGTCAGTATGAAATTCTGTCATTGGGCATAAGTGGGCTCCTTCTGCACTTCAGTCCCTTTAGTGGCTAGCCCTGAAAGACAACGGGGAAAGGAAATACTTCTTTGGGCAGAATTTAGGCAAGACGCCTGATTGTGCCTTTTTTATGGAAAGAGAAATGATAAGAGTTTAAGATTTATGTTAATCATGTGCAAAGCCTATTGGTTTGGCTAGTTGGTAAGAGGCTAGAAAGAAAATTATTGATTGTAGGATTCAACAAGAAGATATAATAAAAGGGTATGTGGTTACTTACATTTCTTCATTGCAGATAAATCTATCGATAATCGGGGAGAATAATGTTCATTCTTTGCATGTTAGTCTCCTTTTCTTTTCTTTTCTTTTTTTAAATCGGCCTCTCAGGTGCTTATACAATGGGCCCATGTACAAAGCGGGCATGGTAGCAGAATTTGAGGGTATGCATAAGCTCGACAAACAAAATTTGGCCTTATCAGTAGTTTATTGCCACTGTTAAATACCAGAGTTGCAAAAAGCAGAAACTAAGTCTGTGCTCCTATATGGCGCCATGGCCCAGTGTGGATCACTTACCCAGCTTGTGGCAGATTGATTATATTGAATTATTTCTATTGGATGTCTTCTATCATGGAAGAACTGACAATTTGTCCTCCCTGCTATAGATGTCTGTTCTAATAAGATCTTTTATGCCCTTATGGCAAGGATTCTGCTAACATTATCGTCTATGACCTTATTGAATACTTTACTCACTGTTATGATATTCTGTACATGTTTCCAAAGAACAGATTTTATAACAAAAGAAGTATAGCAATGAACTCATGCTACAAAAATTCACTAGCCAAGCAACATTTCTCGACATTCATTTAAGTCATACTTGGGGTGCATGGAAGTGACAAAACTTTTTAAAACTAAAAAATAAGCAATCATGCAGAGGGATTAGAATGAGCAAATACCAAAAGGAACAGAAGATTTGCTCTTTTCTTTTTAAATTTATTTTGCAAATATATAAATATTTGTAATCGGTCCATTGGCATTTTATTCTCAAGTTATCAATATTATAAAATATCTTTCAGGATAATTACTGTTTTTTTAAGTTGATTTTAGGTAAAATTTACTTCAATTGATTTCTCAAGTAAATTGGACCAGGGCAGTGATAGTAATTACAAGGCAAAAAGCAAAACATATCTGTAAACAGATCAGTAAGCTCGAGTTCTCATAATTACTGAGAGTATAGATGTTTATATTAGAGCAAAGTGCAGGTTGTTATGTGTATTATTTTATATCTGTGAACATCTCTTTAGGATTCAACTGAGAAGATAGTGAGTTAATTTATATCACTTATGTATCTTTAAACAAATTTATATAATGCTCACTTGTGCCAGGATTTTGCTCACTGTTGGGTATATAAATTAATACAAATTATTAAGCTCAAATTTATCACTTTCATTTTGTTTCCTAGTTGTCACTCTTCTCAAATGTCGTCCACTCACTACTATTGTCAGTATTTTCTAAAGTAAAAATCTGTGCCACAATAACCACAGACAGCACATGAAACTGATTTAAGAAAACAATATAGCTGATTTATAATGACAAAATTGGAGACCTAATATTCATAGGACTCTCACTATTGTCACCTTTATGCAATTTATTAAGATACTTGCCATTAAGGATACGTAAAAGGTATTGTTTTACATTATAGTTATCTTGTTTACCTCCTTCTTATGGTGTTAGTCTACTCGAGGTTTTTCCCTAAGCCGAGTTCTCACTTTATTGGGGTTGCTTACTTTTTATCTTTTTTTGCCTGCTTTTTCACTACATGTAAGTGGCATTTGATCTCCTTTGCTATCAAATTTTGACAGGTGATTTATTTTTGAGAACCAGAAATATTCTTCAGCTTCTTTCGAAATTCACTTTGTTCATTATGCTTGCTAATCAGCTCAATCTTAGATTTGACGTCCTCAACCATTATAGTTATTTCCAAAAAATGTAGAACTCAGAATTAAATTTTTTTTAAAAAAGAAGAGGAAAAAAAAAGAGTGAAACCACCCTCCTTTATGATCTCATTATACTCTCTTCTTTGCCAAGATGGTTGTCAATCTCGCAAATTATACTACTTTTCTTTTTTTTCTTTTCTTTCCTATGCATTATGATCACAAGTAATATAAAAAGGCATTCTCAATTTACTTTGTCGGCTAATAGCCGCAGAGCCTTTCCTGAGAGATTTCATTTCGCTTTCCTCTCTAGTTTCCTTAGTCAGCAGGTAGTATTTCTTTTCATTGTTACAATTCTACTCTCTATCCTTGATAGATTAAATGTTCTTTTTGTGTCATAGTCTACAGCTAATGTGAGCTTCACCTCCGTAGTTCCTCACGCTGTTTTACCCTTTACATCTGTAAACCCTTTTTTGTAGCACAACCTTTGCAGCTCTTTGAAGTCTTCTCATTTTGTGGCTCACTAACTCAGGTCATGAAGCTGCCATGGTGGGGTGGAAGGAGGGTTTCTGACTGCAGTTTGGACCTTTCTTTGAGGATACACTTTTTATCTTTTTTCTAGATGTACTAATTGGAGATCTAGAGTGGAATGTAGAAAAAAGATGTTGGTGTCTAAATTAAAGATTTACTAAATGCACTGAAATAATTATTTACCTAACACATATTTAATGCCTGATAATTATCTTGTTGATGAATAATTATATTTTAAATATTTCAATGCTAGTAGCTAAAAGATAATTTAGAGTAAGGAAGAGAAACATAAATGCTTTATATGAATCTTTAACCTTTTTGAGGACTGACAATCTTCATCAAAATGGAGATGAACGGATTCAGTGAATACTACGTCTGTCTGCCCTCTGTAAGATAGTAATGTATCAAATCATTGATGAGACCATAAAACTCATACACATTGAAAAATTTGTTAGTCTACTCATGATATGCAAATTTATAAATGCCTATTGATATTTCTACAAATTCAATTGAACTCTATGCTTGTGTAGAAAACTTTGAATGCTGGAAAGACAACTAAACATAAAAATATTATTTAAATATTCTAATTTTTATGTATCTGCTTACAATAATTTATATTACCACCTCTTCAAATGTTATTCTAGTATTTTATGTATAGATATACATAGAAGTTAAATATAGATGCATGCATTCTTTCAAGTAATTTCCAGCTATTGCAGTTATTGATTTTCTTCTTCCTTTTAAAAAGGTACAATGCAAACCTCCAGCTTCTTGTAGTTTTCAATTTCTCCTCTGCAAGGGAATGTATTACCTTCCAACATCCTGCCACCCCAAAATACTAAAATATATTTTGTAACACTCTTCTCCATTGAACTCTAAACTCATATATTTAACTGCATATTTTACATTTTTATCTTGGCATTCAAAAGACTTTTGAAGCTTAACAGATTCAAAGAGAACTCTTGATTTTTTTCCCTAACAATGAATTCTCCATTAATTTTTTTCTATATGAGTAATTAGCATCACCATATACTATGTTGCTCAGAACAAATATTCGGTACATTCTACCTTCAAATCATGAACTATCCTTGCTGGCTGTGTTTCTAAGTGTAATTCAAATAAGTATATTGTCTATTTCCTACCTGCCCAAAATATCTACATAATTTACATGAACTATTATAATATTATATAGACTAGACCTAACTAGTCTATTTTGCTTCCTATCGGCTTCCCTGTAATCCACTCTTTTTAAAGCAGCCAGGGTGTATTCTAAAAATTAAATCACACAGGAAGTAGTCTGCTTAAAACCTACTAGTGATTTTCCATTGCAAATAGGAAAACATAATTGTATTGTGGTCTGATAGATCCTAAACAATTTAGAATCAGTCCACCTGTATCATTTTATTTTCCTTTACTCTCTTGAATTCTTTGTACTGTGCATACTCATAGTAGCTTTCCTCTGTGATTAGAACATGCCAAGTTTTTCCTCCACTTCAAGACTCTAGATTTGAACCATAATACAGAATCCATGCTCTGTGTATGAAACTAATCTTTTGAAAGAGCAAGTCTTGGAAAATACGTGCTCAAAAACTTCCTTACATCAGATAGTTAGTTGTATGGTTCTATAATAGTTTAATTATCTGTCAAAGAGAATAATTAAGTTCAGTATATCATGAATATAAAATTCTGTTAAAAAAGGCAGATATTAATACACATTTTAGAAACTACTACACACCAGACACTTTGTTAGGTGATTTGCTTCACCTCAATTAAAATACAAAATTCTCTCATGTTAGATCTGTGTGAACTACATATTTGGATTACACTGTGAATACTTTTAGTTTTGGGCTTTGGGAGAGGCTTTGTAAAATCTGAGCATCTAAACTATGAATACATAGACCTATAGTCCCATAGAAGCTATATTCCTGTTAGTAAGTAAGGCCTGATACTCCCTAAGGAAACTAGCCTACCAATAGCTATAGTTCTACAATAGAACAGGGGATCTTAACTATTTGGGGTTTCACACCTTGTTGCATATCCAGTGGGATTAAGGGAGTTAATTTTCCACAGTGCACCTAATTGATATTTTCCCCGCATCATTTCAGAATATTGTGGACTGCCTAAATTTTGTCCCATGGGTCATAGGATAAAAACAAACAAACAAACAAACAAAACGAAAACGTGAAAACCCGCTACAGAGATTGACACTTTGTTGGATCACTTCTTTAAGATCGTTAATTGCCCTCAGCTTTACATTAATAAACATTTACAGGTTGTAGCATTAAGATTTTTATTTTTTAAGGACCACGCCATTGGAAAGTCATTGCTGAAGTCATACTGCAAATGTTTGTCTCTAAGAATATTTTCTAAAATTCTACTTGTGAAAAGGTTTTTTGCTTAATTCTTAGGTAAGACATAGTCCAGTTACCACTATTTAATCTCCTGACAATGTTTTCTCCTCCATGACAAACACTTTTTGATAAAAAATGCTTCCATGGAACAAATAGTTAACAAAAGTTCACTTGCTTTATTTTTCTTTACTCTGAAAACTTCTTTTAAGAATGAATCCTTGAGTTTTTTTAACCCTTACTTGACATACAAACAACATCACTAGCACAATATCTATACATATCTTAGAATTGTTTTTTAACTAAATGTGATATTCTCAAACACATTTCTTAATTCTTTTGATTGAATGATTGGGTTTTGAATATAATTTCTAATAAATTCTCTGTATTAATATATATCCAAGAAAACACACACTTCCTTCCCCATGTCTCACAAAAACTTTGATCATTTCACATTAGTTTCTAACATGTTCCAGCTCTGTTGCCCTTTCTCCATTCTTAGAACTAAATATCTACTCTGAGCAGATGGCATAATATATTATTGCTAGACACCCACCAAAGCCTCCCTGCTTTTGTTTTGATGTGACCTTCATTATATTTATATCTGTCTGTTGTATAAAATGAAAGGTGATTTATTATATTTGCCTCCTAGAATCTTTACCTCAACTATGCCCTCTGCCCACAATTCCATTCTCCACAGTGTTTCTCTCTAATGCTCTCTATATACTCTTTATATCTGTGTATCAAACTGGTTTAGAAAGAACACAACCCCCACTTACACTTAACTTTAATTTTCATGTAATTATTAAATCTCAATCAATCTTATACACCAGGATATTTTGTTTGGATATATGCTCAAATAAATATAACCTGACCTAGTCCTCAATGCCAAGAAAATCTCAGTTCTTAATTGTCTGCCTACCCAGTACCACAGACATTTTTATTCTATCCTAGAATCATTTTCTGTAATAAACTGGGGAAAAGTTTGACCTTTATAGTCATTGCTAATCAAGGGGAAAATAATCTATGTAGTTTCCTGTGTAAATTACAATAATGCTGCAACTAATTTTTATATTGCTCAATGCTGTATCTCCCTCCCTCTCTCTCTAGAGTCAATTTTTTTTTTAAATTTCCAAATGTTTGGAATCTTTGCTCTCTTGTTAAGAGAGAGCTTTTCTGTTAAATGAGAACCTCCTTATTATCAAGCTGATTACATAAGTAATAAGACTTATCAGTACAGAAAGGTTTTTTATGAATTTTGATGAGTGTAGGTCTGTGACATACAAATTATAATTTGAATTTATTTAAATATGAAATTCTTCTTTTTAAATCTAATGTATGTTGCTACTATCTGTTATGCACACATATGATGTAGGTGAAATATTGTGCTTTCCATATCACAATTATTCATGTGCAAAACATTTTTATTGTCTTCAAACATATTAAAAGCTAGAAAAACTTATGTCTATGCTTATTTTGACTTACTTTAAAAGTAGACATATATTTCTCATAGCTCAAAAGAATATGAAAGAAAATATTCCTGGCTCTCTTAACATTTAATTTTAATATTTACCAACCCTATTACTGTCCTAAAGAATAAAATAAATCTGATTGCTATCAACTTTTCAGCTCTAAAACTGAAGTGTAACTTCTTAAGATCTGTAATTGAAATGTTTGTGATTGTTAATGAGATCATCTATATAGCTTAGGAAGCAAATGAAACAAAAATACTTAAATAACATGTATTTCTGAAATTGATATAAATTATGTGAGAATTTAAAAAATTAATTTTATTACTAAAACTGGTGTACATTAAGTAGGGAATCTCCATGTTTTAAACATAAATATTTTTCAGTCACTACTTATTTAGAATAGAGTGTATGATTTTATTTTTTATATTTTGTTAAGATTTTATGGATTCTAAGGGAAAATATTTCTATAAAACCACTTTGATCATTGATATGGAATTATTATACTGCTCACGGATTATTTAGAATGTGGTATGCTAAATTTATGATTAAATATTTTTAATTATACAGATTTAAAATAAATAATAACCAACCTGAATTTTATGGGATGTATGCATCAAATATTGCACTTATGTGTGCACATATTTCTTTGTGACTGTGTACATTGGATTAGAAAATGTTGAACTTTTAATATTCATGTTTTATTAACTCATCTATATTAGTATAAACATTTACATTTTATAGATAAAAAATAAATAATGACTATCAATTAGATGGTTCCCTACACCTCAGAAAATCTTTACAGTTGAAAGCTCAGTTTCATAATTACTTTAAAATTTATATTTTATGACTTAATCATAAATACCACAGTCAATAAAGAAGTATATAATAAGTTTTTGCATTCCTTTCAACTATGATTACTGTGCTTGTTAAATATATTTGTCTATAACATCCTATTACATTATGATTAGCTTCTAGCTAAGAAAAATAAATCCTTGTCAAAATTTAAATTGGTAAAATAATTTAGCAGAAGCTTCAAAGATTAATGTTGAATAAAACCCGAGGTTTAAATATCACTGACATTTGTTATATTTAATTTCATAGGATAATATGAACATATTTGAAAAGAATATTCCAAAATTTATCTTTTAGCATGAAAAATGCCATTATTTCTGGGCTAAACTTTACAAAATTATGACACTCAAACACTAATTTGTTTTAAAATTAATTAAATAATAAATCCAATCCTGGTTTTCTATAAAAATAAAATCAGAATGATACAAATAGTACACCTACAAAATAAAAATTTTATTTATGACACATACATTAATCTATTCTGATAATTAGGAAATGCTTTTTGTCACCATAAAATGGGAATATTATATCCAACTTATAGGAAAAGCTTAATGCAAAGGCTTTTAGATTAAAAAAGTATCCTGGTCATACGTATAGGTAAGCTTCTCCTGATATATGAAGGAAAGAAGCCTGCTGGAAACAATCCAGATTTTATCAGCAAAAACAAGTATACTGGTGTCCATTGGCTTTGGATTCAAAAAAACAGTAATAATAAAGATGACTTTATCACCAAGAATTAGTACTTTTCATCCAACTAATGATATTACATCTATAAGCCTTGCTCTCACATTCAAAATGTATGCCTTTAGGAATCTTATATTTTATATTTCATGCAGAAATATAAGTCCTATAATAATATGTCTAATGTGTTCTACATATCTAACCCAGATAATTTGTCTTCAGCATTTTTAGATATTTGAGGGTAAATGTGACAATTTTAGAAAAACTTTTGTCATTGAAAACAGGTAATGCAAATCACAGAAAATAAAGCATTATTTTTATTTACATACACTTAACAATTTTTTTGTATCTGTTTTATAGTTCTGAATTTATAAGTACATAATGACCTCATGATGAGATGTTTGGGAAATATCAGGGCTACTATATTCAAATACAAAAAGTTGAGATCAATTGTTGGAATTGAGATGCAGGGTCATAAAGCTTAGAGCAAGGGAAATTAAATAATATGATTCTGTGAGAGATGGATCAAGAAGAATGCCTGACCATGATGGATAAAAGAAAGAATACCAGCTTCCTTATAAGACCCTAAGGTTTCCAATTTATTTCATCAACGTTCTCAGCTAAGATTTTGTAATTAAAGGAAGACCAACTTCATTTAGGAATAGTTTGTTTTGCAATATGTTCAAGTTTCATATATTTCAGCTGAATAGTGAAAGTTGAATACTATTTACTTTGAAAAGTTAGTGAGTTCTAAATTGGCAAATTCTAACAACTAAGAAACTATCATTAAATGAGCTATTTTTCCATCACTAATAGTCATGGACATAACAAAAACCCTTGTTTTAAAAAATGAGCATCCCAGTTATATTCATCAATGTATCAGAAATATAAACAAAATATTTTAAAATTGAATAAAATACAACTTTAAAAATATGACACATCCATAACCAGTAGAATTCATTATTTTTACCAAGTCTTTTTTATTCCTAATAAACCTTCAAATGTGTAAAGAAATATCTTAAATGTCTCTATAAAAGTTTCATTCTCTAATTTAAACATTTTTAATTATTTCAAAGTTACTGTATACCTTTTACAGTTATATCCACTATGTTTTTAGGTTTCCTAGTTTGCTCAGCTCTTACAGAATATTTCAGATACGATTTTTTTCTGTTCTATATTTCTTACTTTTTATAGCTTCTATTTATCTTTTGGTGAAATCTCAATACATAAGTTTCTTTTCATAACAGTTGTTTTAATGTCCTCATCTGATACAATATCTGACTTATCTCTGAGTTAGTTTCTATTTACTGCTTTATATCCAGGCTATGGATCTATGTCCATGCTTCCTCATATGTCTAATAGTTGTGCTATTTTAGGCTGGATATTTTTCAGAGTCTTAATTATGCTTTTTCTTTTAAAAAAAACAGTGTATTATTTTGTTCTGGCACAAATTCCTATTCTGGCATCTCAGCTTTATTCTACGAAGGCATTAGTGTAAACTTTACTTGGTCTTAATGAGAGTAACCCATAATTTTAGCCTAGAGTGGCCCTATTTCTAAGACATGGCCTTACAGAGATTCATGTAAATGCCCAGAGTGTTCAGCAAGATTTTCTCTACTTTACTGACTTTAACACACTGCCACCTTTGGAAAAAAAAACCCTAGAGTCTAGCCCTGTGGATGTATGGTTTAGTATTTGCCTAATGACTCAAGGAGACCACTAGGTACATTTGTAGGTCACCTTCTCTGATCAATTCTCTCACTTCTGGCACTCTGGCCTGCAAATTTCAAACACTTCATTAGACTCAACCTTCAGTTTCTGCTTCTTCTGCCCAGCTAGACCCTCGTTCTCAGTTTCAGCGGCATTTACCTTTGCTCGTAAGGTCTGGAAATTGTTGCAAATATCATGTGGATGTGGCGTTTACCTGCATTTCTTTTGTCTCAAGAACCATAGACCTGCACTGAAAGATTTTCAATTCCTGAAATTATTTGTTTCATATATTGCTCAGGTTTATAATCATTGTCAGTGAGAGAGTAAGTTGGTACCCTGTGAGTATGTGGTCAGAAAGAAATTTTTTTTTTTGAGAATGGAAATTAAAATGATTAATTATTAAATAATAAACACTTTTGGTATATTATTTCATTTAAGATTCACACAGAAATTTTGAGATAAGAATATGCTCATTTTACATGAGTGGAATCTGAAGTCCAGAAAGGTTAAGTAAAATTCAAGAATAATTGTTTAGAAATGGTAGAGTCAGAATTAGAATACAGGTATGCCCAGTCCTAAAAGGCCCATGTGCTTGTTAACACTGCTTCTCACTACCTCTTTGTCATGCTTTCCTTTCCAAACATGGCCACTGTATCATACAATGAGCTGTCTTTAATTTTCAACAATATTTTTAACATCTTAGCTTCTCTGACTCTACTCAATTATTTCCGTCATAATCACAAATGAGCAATAGTACAGATATCAACAATAGCAATAATAACTCAGTAAAAAAGCAAACATTTACCAAGTATTGACTATGTTCTGGGCACCATTCAAATCCAGTAATATAATTTTTAAAATAACTTTATATTTTTACTATATTTTAAAAGTAAAAGAATTGAGGCATTGAAAGTAAAATGATTGCTCTAATATTTCATAATAAGTTCAAAAAGGATTTTAGCATCAGTTTTACTTTGAGATTCTAATTAAATCTAATTATGAGCATAAATTGAGAATGACAAAAGGAATAGAATACAAGATAAATAAAAATTATCAAAGTAATTCCAAATTATAAAGAATAGTACAAAGAAAGGTAGTGATATACTTATTTTTGTATACTGCTGATAAATATGTCTAATTATATAATGAGAATTAACATAATGATTTAGATGATAAAACAATTCTTTCTATTTATAGATGTGGAAACTGATTTCTCAAATAATTCAGTAAGTCACTTAATGGAAAACATCAGTTTTAACAAGAATGTGTGCTAAAATTAAATTAAATTTAATATCAACTCTCAGTTGTGTCTTTCTACTCTACCATGCTCCATTTTAATATACAGATATTTATAGATATTTTCTTTGTGATTTTTTCCCCTTTTTATTCAGGCACTTACTATGTACTGACTAACATAATAAATAGTTAACATTCTCATTTTATCCCCGCAGAAACCCTACAGCAGATATTTTTATGACCATTTATCCAGTTAGAGAAACAGAATCACAGTGAAGCTTAGTAACGTGTCCAAGGCCAGTAGAATTAAGACCCCAGGGCCCTTGGTTTTAATGATGATGCCATACTGTCTCTTCTTGAATAAAATGATTTTTTTGACAGAAGAGTTTTAATTTAATTTATTAGCATCAATTATTTTTAATTGGCTCTTAGGTAAATATCAAAAATTTATTATTTTACGAGTGACCTGGCTTTCATCTCCCTTTGCAACCCTCTCTCTATTCATCCTTGTATTCCCCATTTCTCTTCTTCTTCTGTCTTTCATTTTTCTCTTCTCCTTCTACTGTTCTTCCTCCTCCCTCTCCTTTTTATTTCTTCTTTTTGTTTTCTTCTTTCTTATCCTTCACTTTCTGCTTTCTCTTCTTCTGAAAACTGAAATTTGGTCCGTGTCTTTACTGGAATCAGTAATCTGAGAAGTTTCTGCATAATGCATTTTCTATTCATAATTTACATATAAAAATATTAAGAGTTTTTAAAGCACATTATGGAATGCAGCTGTATCATTTATTGGAAACAGAAAAAATAACATTTTGACTCTTATCTCAAAAATAGAGCAACATGACAACATAGTTTTTCTTGTAAATAAAACCATTTTTTCTCCTCGGGTACATACAAGAGAAGTTTCCTTTATTGGCTTTCAATATGGAATGGAGAAATTTCCAAATTATGTATAATTTCAATATGTTTGGTAGAAAATGTAAAACTAATTTTCCAGGAAAAATTATGCTGACTTCAATTTGATTTAGATACATTAATTGAATAGCTACTACATACAAAATAACTGTCATAGATGGAATAAATGATATAAGGTTCTTTGCTCTTAAATGTTGTAAAGCATTTGAAATAAATTTAACTTAAAGCAGTCTTTATTTTCTTATTAACAGAATGTCTGGGTTTAAACTGAGTATTCATGTCTTCCTTCTCAGCATTTTGCTAAATTTAGATTCTTTTTTCTCAAAATGGCACTGCAATTCATTAATTCCCAATATTGGTTAATAAACATTCCTTATATATTAGATTCATAATAAAAATTAGTTTAGGGAGGATGAGGAAGAAAACAGATATTCTTTCAAAATTGAATAACAAATGCAGATTCTTTGGCTTTAGGTTATTTCTATGCATAATCATATATTTTATATAATGCATATCTATCCATATATCTATAAAATTTAGCCTCTTAAATATGTAATGTGTAAATCTTTGACACTGATACATATTTATAAAAGCACTTTTAGTGCTTAATGAGATTTTCATGTTGGTTTATATTTCAACATGCTGATGTTGAAATGCAGGTTTTTAAATATTTTTAAACAGTCAATGCATAGAAAGGTATGAGAAAGACAATAGCCATCACGTATGACAATATAGTTTATCAAAGAAAGTTGATGTGTAAACTTGTCATGTCAGGTATTAGAGCAGCATCGCACACTGTGCCAGGCAAAGAAATTGGTTTGAAAGGAAAAATAAAAATGTTAGAAATTTGCTTGAATTTTTGGCACCTGCTTGTGTCCTGGTGGGCTCCAAATGGAGCCCCTTATTGTTTTTCTTTAATCCATCTTGGAGCTGACAGAGGTGCAAGTTGCAAGTCACAGCTTGCATGCCGTGCCTTAGGATGACAAAGCTCAATAGAAACAATTATTCCAAAGCCCATATCTCATTCATTATTAAACCTATGAAAAGAGTTTTAATTTCCTGTGCAATTACGTAGTGAAATGTCATCCTCTGGATGAAAAAGGATTAATTGCTTTTGATAAAATACTGTGTATTTTTATTTGACTTTTCGGACATCCATTCAATGCAGTAATATCATTTCAATCTGATGTGCTTCATATCATAGAGAATTATTGTAATTTTGCATGGGTAATGTTGTTTAATTATTTTCTTTTCTCATAAAGAAGGAAGAATAAAATATTAATATTTCTTGGCTCAAGAGCACAAGCAGCCACACTTTATTTTTCAAATCAAGTTGGAAACTCTTTTACAAATGAGCAGTAGCAAAATATGATTAATGTATTTTGTGAGAGATTCATAAGATTACCTCAAATAAAATTTATATGTCATGTGTAGGCACAAATTACAATTTCTATCATTTGTATTTGTTTTCCACTTACCAATGATTATTAAGTAATCCATAAAACAATGACTAGTCACTTTCTTCCTGTCACACATGTGAGTTCAATGTATTCTCCTATAAAGACTAAAATATGGCAAAGGAATCTACAAGAAAATAAACTTTCCAAATACTATGAGACTTACTCTTTATGGTGACAGACCAGGACGTCCCTATTAGAGTGAGACTAGCATTTGAGAAATAAGGGACTGGAAAGCCACCTTGACATTTTCACCAATTGCATCCAGCCCCGTAAATGCTTGGCTGCTATGAATTTAATTATTCTTTTGCATTTCTGAAAATAGTTGGAATAGACATTCAATAGAAAATGAATTGTTTAGCAATTTCACCTTCCTACAAAGAAAATATAATTTTATATTTGATAGTATTCATTCTACAAATAGCTATTATAGTCACTTATATTAAATAGCAAAGAATAAAATGTGGAATAATATGTGCAGTGTTTTCTGAAAAATTATAATACAAGAAGAAAACAGCATTCTTTATTTATAGCAGTTTAATGTGATTGCCAGTTTGGGCCCTGGCAAATGTATTTTAGGTCAGGAATGAGTTTGATTGGCACATATGCTTTGGAAAGCTTATATAGTTCCTCATTCATCAAAAACTAATATGGGAAATTGTAAGTCTTAAAATCAGTACATTTATTTTTTTTTTCCAGAATTTACAAATCAAGTAGTCATTTTATATCCAATGTGTTTTTCTCTTTTGCTGATTTGTAAAGAAGAAAGCTGGAAATGAGATAAACAGTAGAAGATTGCCTTTTCAGAGGTGAAAAGGAAGAGTGTTGCAGAGAAAGCATATTAAGAACCAGAAATAAAATTTCCATATTCACTTGTAATTTTAAAATACCTATTTAAGTAAAATGAAAAAAAAAATTGTACTTTGCACATATCAGTCATTATTTGTCAATAATAAAGTACTGGTCATTTTCCTGTTGCTATAATTTAAGGTAATGTTGATAAGCCTCTATCTATCCTGAAAATGTGAATTTAAAAATTGGTTATTCAATTTGGTGTTTATGTAAATGTAATCTTTTAATTCACAGTGTAAATGGAAAAATGTAAACTTGTACAACTTTTAAATATTTCATTAATATTTCCATATTATATATAGATTTTAATAAATATGCATACATAAATTGATGGACTGCTGTACAGATATCTGAGGTCATTTTAATATAAAATTGAAAAGCTTTTGATCTTAAAGTATACATATTTTAAGGATGACATTTGATCTGAGTACAAAAAGTAAAACATGTATTGAAACTCCCTGTGCATTTCTAAGACATTCATATAACAGACATGTGGCTTTGATTATTAAATTTTACTTAAAACCTTCCCATTAATCTATAGTTTCTTAATTTAAAAAGTGACTAGATCAATACAATAAACATATGAAGGGTTATCACACAATTGCTACTTAATTTTATATTTCATGACCAGCATTTTGCTTGACCCAGAGTAGATCTCTCTATAAACAGTAATAAATGAAAGCCTGAAAGAGAGCACAGAGATAATACCTGAAAAGATTTAAATGCTATAATGCAAACTATTTTTTCTGTACCCTAAAAACATTGTGCATGAAAATTCAGATTTTCCATTATAATTCAGCATTCTTGAAGTTTGAACAATCATTGAATCAATTCTGACTTCTTAAATGTTAAACATTCTTTTAAGCATATGATTAAAATTGCTTTTTTCAAGGACGATGAAAACTTCCATCTTGCCAAATCTGGTTTTTAATCTTCTTTCCTCAACGTAATCCATATATTGGCTTGATTCTCAATATTCATGACTTTTCCAACTATAATTTTTTGGTAAGTAATCCAGTGATTTAAATATGATTTTTATACTGATGGCTTCAAATTTTGCATCATAGTCTTTTCCTTTCTTCTGAGATCCTGCTTCTGTGTCCAGCTCTCTACTCAGCATCACCACTTGAGTATATACATCTCAAAGTCAATATGTCAAAAGGAACTCACAATCACAACTGTACCAAATTTTCTTCTGCCTTGGTATTCCTCATCCCAGTAAATCTCAGCCTCGAAACTGTATCATTACTGCTGCATATTGAAGACATACTTGATTTCTCCAACACACTATATCCAATCCATCAGCAATTTTCATGTTTCTAGTTTCAAAGCATATACCAATATGAACTCATCCCATTAGCTTAATTATTCTAACATCTACTCAACTCACCACCATCTCTTGCCTGTATTTTGATTGTAAACTTTTATTTGGTCTCTCTACATCCATGCTTTCCAGTTTATATTCATCTCTTCATTCACACAGTAGTCAAAACAATATTTAAAAAGAAAAATTGGAATACAATACCCTCTTGCCATAGTACATTCCAACTGCTGCTCCTTATATTTATAACAAAATCTAGACCCTCCTCTAAAGGTCTGCAAGATATCACATGATCAAGTGCTGTCATCTTTCCACTTTCCTGTCTACCACTGTTCCTTTCCTCTACTAACTACATAAAAACAACACTTAATATTTTGGTGTCCTTTACTAATTCCAAATTTGTTCTTGACTTATGATCTCTATATTAACTGTTTCCTCTGCTTTTATATTATTTTTTGGAATGTGTACATGGCTCATTCTCAACATTCAGATCATTCCTTCATAACATTCAGGTCTTGGCTCAAATGTCACATCCTCAGAAAACACTACTCTAAATATCTTTTCAAAAACAGGTTCTCTCTCCAGTCTCTTTTCTAATATAACACTTACCATAATCTAAAATTATCTTTGTTTTTGTTCTGTCTTCTACCAGTTCCAGTAACATGTGACTCTATTAAGTAAAACACTTTGTTCACTACTATATTTCAGAGAACATACGTGATATATTATAGTAGCCAAAACACATTCGTTAAATGAGAATGAATGAATAAACTTTCTACACTTTCTACTCCTGACATTAAATAATTCTTTCTCTTTTGAAATGTCCCCAAACTGGCTCACATGTCCCCTTTCAGCTGCCCAAGTACTTTCAAATATACCTGAGAACCAATTAGGAAGTCTCATTCACTTCTAAAATGTCTACCTAATAGGAAGTTTTCCAAACAAAAATTGTTTGAGTATTTTTTCTTTTTACTCTCTAGAGTATACTCTCCTTTCAAACTCTTTTAACTGCTGCTGAAACTTAAGTGATTGCAGATGAATTTCCTTGTTTTACATTTACAAATAAATGGGTTTGTTAATTTTATCTCAGACTTAGTTTTGTATTTGACACTACTGAAGAGAGATTTAGGAGAAGCTGTTGGTCTTCTAAACATAACAGCATAGAAATACTTGATATTCCTTCCTTACACTAATAACAACATTACATTTTTCAGCCTGAGAAATGGGCAGGTGTCACAGTGTGAATGAATTGAACTTAATGCACTGATAACTTCAGTCTCCAAAGGTAAGGAATTCCTGAAAATTGTTTTAAAGTATATATGAAATGAACATATAACTTAATCTAGCTATAAGTAACACTGTTCATATGTTGGTTTCACTAAAATTGCCCTCTCAACAAACTCATTTTTACTAAATCCAGTTCATATATGTTTCTGAATCCTATTAGAGCCTCTGCAACATTTAAAAACATGATGTTGCCTGCTTTCCTAAACAAGTCTTATCTTAGATTTGCTAATGTTATAAATGGTCCTGGATTTCTTACCAAATTTCTGGAAGATTCTTGAGACTTTCATGTTTGTGTTGCTTCTCTGTCTCTCCAGGTCTCTAACATTAGCAAGGTATTCCCAGGCCATAAGGGTCTGTATGTAAAAATAAAATCATAGCAATATAGCTGCATTAGTATTCCTGGCTAACAAACTCTATTAATCAATTAAGGGACTCCAGTTTAAAGTAGTTTATGCAAAGAGAAAATAAGTAAATTGGCTTATATGAATGAAAAGCCTGATGGTTATATTGGAAACAGATTCAGGTGGATCTAGATATTCATACATCATTAGGATATTGCCATTTTGACTATATTTCTATTCATCTTTTAGTTTTGTCTCCCCGGTGTGTTTTATATTTTCATTCTCAGTGTGTTACTCTTGATGGAAAAATGGATACTAGTAGTTTCAAGCATACAAGGTCTTATGATTTCTCAGAATTCATATAAATTCTTTAAAAATGTTTAATATTGCTACTTGGGACAGGTATTCATCCAATCTTTGATCAGTCATTAAGGGAAATGTGTGTTGAGGGATGTCATTGATTGACCAGGCTGACTCTGTCATTGTACCCATTTCTAGTTCTTTGGAAAGTAAAAGATAGTTGAGAGGAGAGAGAGAAAGAGAAAGAGAGCTGGGGGCGGAGGGGGAAAGGGAAACTCGGCAGGTAGAAAATGAAAAAGAATATAATTCTTGACAGCCAAAAGAATAGTTTTATCATAAATTCAGTCTGTTTTGATTGCTCAGCATTTATTCACAGCTTTATCATAATTGTCTTTTGAATTCTGCCTAATAAAATGTCACTATCCCAAATGAAATATGCACAAATATGCGATTTTATGTGTGTAGGGCAACCCAAAGACTTACCTAATCACTACACCTAGCTTGAAGCCCAGAATTTGGAGATGTTATTCAGGCTTGGATATAGCCTCTTATTATTCTACTACTTATCCTAAGTGCTACATTATATGTCTACCAAAAGCACTCTCTATATAATGCTACAGGGAATATAATTACTGAAAAATACCACATCTATTTCAGAGATGGAGTAATAAACATTAGCCTTTTAACTAAAACAACAACAAAAGAAACAAATACAAAACCCCAAGGAATTCTAATATGGCAGTGTGGGGAGTTAATTGCTAAGTCAATCTATGTTCTTTGAGCTTTTTCCTGAGAGATTATTTTTGTTCAAGGCCAATTGTGCAATGGCTATTGAGAGAATTTTTCTTTAGCCTATGAATTGTCTCAAGCACTTGCAAAGGTTAACCTAAATGTATTAATTTAGAACTGTGACAATAGACTTGCTTTAAGCTGAAGTCTACCAACATTTCTTTGAACTAAGAGCATCAAACATTTCTTTTAATATCATGACTTTTGAAATTAGACCTTGCTCTTGAAGATTCTAGGTCTGGCCAGCAGACTTCAGGGCTTAGCCTCCAGTTGGCTTCTGCCTAGGGGAAGAATGGCATGGGTTATGAGGGAGTGTCAGAGCCTGCTTCCCTGAGCTGCTTCACTAGGGCCGGGTATGAGGAGACATATATAATTATCACTTTCGCCAGAGGGATGGACTTTGTGTTCTGGTTTCCTCTCTAGCTAGGCTTCTTGTCCCTCTACCTCTTTTTATGCTGACCTTATATTTGAGCAAAGAAGGTAGCTTTTACACATTTTCAAAGGACAGGATTATCCAATGACTCCTTCCTGGTATGTGGTTTTATACCAGTTAGGGCCTTACCTCGCAGGGCTAATTTTTTTTTTGGACTGAGACTTAAGCCATGTTTGTAGGGTGACCATGAGCAGTAGCCAAGAAAATTCAACATCCTTATATTTTCAATCAATTCACTTGTTCAATATGCTTGTTTTTGGAGTTCCTAAATAGAAAAATATCCTTCCTAACAAGGTGTTTTGCCATCCCAGAATACAGGTTGCCATCCTGTGAAGTAAGGGTTGGGTTATAATCACTATGCTTCAATCCCACTGTGACTGAGCCAATCTTACAGTTTAGAAACTTTTACATACAATAAGTCTAATACTTTATAATTTTTCTATCTATCATGATTCTTCTGCATGCAAGTGACAAAAGTCTATAGCTAATTAGCTTTAACCGAAAAGTGAATTGTATTTGTTTCTTTAATTGGATATCATGAAGTTGAATTAGCTGTGCTGTTCTCATTGTTTCCAGAAATGCCTTTTTTAATCTTTCTCTTATACTTGCAATTTCCTTACATATTGGCTTTGTTTGCAGGTAGCTTTTCTGCACCTGGTGGCTAAGAGGAACAATTTTTTCCAAGCCAGACATTGTTTCAGGCAGATGATAATAAGGGAATGTTTACCCTGGGGTTGCACAAAGTGGCAGGGCTCTGATTAGGCACTGCAAATTCAGCAAGATCAGAAAGACAAAAATCCATGACCCAAAGCAGCTGAGATTCTAGAGAGGTAGGACCAACAATAATAAATGATTGTTTAGCATATGTAATATCTCAGATGGTGATAAATTCAGTGGGAAGAAATTATCTGTAGAGGAGAGAATGTTCATAGAGAGTGCCAGGACTAACTTATTCTACAGAAGAGCTTGAATTCTAGTAAAGGAAGACAAACAAACAATAAATAAATGAATGACATATATACTATTTCAGTTGATGATAGTTTCTGTAGAAAAGAAGATTTAAATGTGTGTTCATAAAGAAGAGAAAGCTCTTAAGGAGTGCCAGGATTGCCTAGAAGGAAAGAGATAATCTGTCTCAGGGTGTATAAATCCCGATTCTTTGCCCTGTATCAATAACTATCTCTGGAGAATAGGGTATTTTTCCCAGTTACTATTTCTGAAGTGAGAAAGGTAGGGCCTCTTGAACAACAGAACATTCAAGGAAGGAAGGAGGGAAGGGGGAAGGCTGCTTCTGGAGGGAAAAGAAAAGTATTGTTTCTAGACATAATGGTTTAGGATTTTAATCAGAAATGGCAGAAAAAGTTCCATTCAAAATACTCTTTAAAGAGTAGATTTGAGGGTGATACTTCCCCAGAACTATTTCTCTCTGCACGATTACAACACTGTGTTTATGCTGGATTAGTTTCAGTATTGTCCTAAAGCTGCTAACCTTATAATGTTAAAATAATACTTCAGTCTTCATTGATCTAAAGTTACTCTTTGCTTAATGAAAAATCAAGAAAATTTCTTATTTTCTGTGTTTATGTTATACTTGTTCTCTTGGAACTTGAAGAAGATATTTCTTAGCAAATATTACAGACAGTAGGAGTTTTAGCTTCTCTGTCTGTCTCCACAATATTCAAATCAATGAGGGTATGCCAAAGAAAAGATACTATGTTTTCTTCATAAACCCCAAATGCAGCTCTCGGTAACATGCCTTCAGTAGAACCAAACTAACACAAAACTGAAGCAAAAACTCGCTGTAGGTTTTGATTACACAATTGCCACAGAATCAAAGTTTAGGGTTTTCTAGAACATCTTTGCTTTCCCATCCAAAACTTTATTTTTGTCTCTCTCAGCATACTATTTCTGGATGATTTCAGGAACCTCCATGGCCTCAATAAAAAAACAGATTTCTGATTTTCAAAACACGTAGTTCCATGCCTTTTAAACACCACAATTTTCTTGAAATTCAGTCTACTTTAATTTCCATTTGCACAATAGCCAATTTTTATCTAAAGTTATCTCTTTATATAATACGATATTTTATATGGCTAATAAGAAGCAATGCTCACTATTATTTCACTCTCTTCAATCCTCTAGAAGTTATTATGCAACAGTTTTGCCAAACTTTTCACTTTGAAATAAAAGGACCTTTCAATATCTGCTTCTTTGCTGTCTGTTATTAAATGTTAAGCCAATTACTCTTCCTTCTTTCCTTCCTTCCTCCTGAAATAAAAGGACCTTTCAATATCTGCTTCTTTGCTGTCTGTTATTAAATGTTAAGCCAGCCTCCCTCCCTTCCTTCCTTCCTTCCTTCTTTCCTTCCTTCTTCCTTCCTTCCTTCCTCCCTCCCTTCTTCCCCTACTCCCTCCCTTCTGTCTTAGTCTGTTTTCACACTGCTATAAATACCTGAGACTGGGTAATTTATAAAGGAAAGAGTTATAATTAACTCACAGTTCTGCATGGCTGGAGAGGCCTCAGGAAACTTACAATCATGGCAGAAGGTGAAGGGGAAGCAAGGCACATCCTACATGGCAGCAAGAGAGACAGAGTGCAGGGGAAACTGCCATTTTAAAAACTGTCAGATTTCATGAGAACTCTCTCACTATCATGAGAACAGCATGAGGGAAACTGCCCCCCATTTTCCAATCACCTCCTACGAGGTCCCTCCCTCAATACATGGGGGTTACAATTTGAGATGAGATTTGGGTGGGGACACAGAGCCAAACCATATTACCCTCCTTCCTTCTTTCTATTATTATTATTATTTTGCATGGCATAACCTCATTTAACACATAATTTTTATATAATTTAGGATTAGTCCTGAAACAAAGTATTTCTAAATTTTAAGTAGTATAATTAAATAGAAAATGAAAGTTTTACTCATATTGAGGTACAATGTAGATTAGTTGGTTGGAGGAGTTCTGCTAAATGCAATCATATAGAATTCAGCCTTCCTCTACCTTGTTTCTCTTCATAGTCTTCTCTACTAAACAAATGGAGGAAGAAGAAGAGTGATTAAAATTTTTATGACCCAGGCTTGTAAGCAGCATACTGATACCATTGGCTAGAACTTAGTCACAAGTACACAGCTAAGTGCAGGAAGGTGTTCTTTTCATCTATTGCTTGTAACAATCTACCTTTTTTTTTTTTTTTTTGAGATGGAGCCTTGCTTTGTCGCCCAGGCTGGAGTGCAGTGGCGCAATCTCGGCTCACTGCAAGCTCTGCCCCCCGGGTTCACGCCATTCTCCTGCCTCAGCCTCCCGAGTAGCTGGGACTACACGCGCCCGCCACTACGCCCAGCTATTTTTTTTTTTTTTTTTTTTTTTGTATTTTTAGTAGAGACAGGGTTTCACCGTGTTAGCCAGGATGGTCTCAATCTCCTGACCTCGTGATCCGCCCGTCTCGCCTCCCAAAATGCTGGGATTATAGGCATGAGCCACCGTGCCCGGCCAACAAACTACCTTTAATATAGGCTTTTAAAATGTAATAGGTCAAAAAATTGTTAATGTTGCTTTTAAAGGGAAACAAAATAGATTCTATTCCCAAAACTGAAACTGAAATTGCATTGAGAGTGATTTTTCTAAAACTCAGAAACTCTAAAACTCAAATCTGATTATTCTGAAACTCTGTTTATAAAACCGCCAATGCTTTCTCATTGCTGTGAAGATAAAATGTAAACTACTTAATGTAGTCTACATGGTCTTTCTTGAGTTGCTTCAGTAACCCTCCTAGGCTCCTTTCACACTCTGAACTCCTTCAGACACAACTTCCTCCATAGATTATGCCAGTGAAGTGCTTTCATTTTTATTGTTGCTGTCCTTTGCCCATTTTTCTCCATCTCTCTGGTATAGTCTCCCCTGCTTCCAGTGATTTATTTCTACTTCCTGTTAAAATTTCATCTTAGCTTTTATTACTTCTTCATGGAATTTTATTTCTTCCCAAAAGTAATATTAACATTATTTTTTCTTGACCTAACATTGTGAATCCTAAATGCCTATATAATTGTTTCTAGATGTCAACTTTAACCTGTTTGTGAGCAGGAACTTCATCCTGCTTACTATTCTACATCCTTAGGTCTTAGCACATAGAAAGAGCTTAGTAGATGTCTGTAAATATATGAATGAATGATAGATATGATCTTTCATGTAAAGCCATATTTACCTAGCTTTAAATTCTTGGTTGTTAATTTCAAATTTTTAGAGCTGCTATAAAATACTCTATTGACAAATGAATCCTATCAGTGATAGACTGGATAAAGAAAATGTGGCACATACACACCGTGGAATACGATGCAGGCAAAAAAAGGTTTTCTGTTTTCCTTGAAATATTACCAGATTTCTAAAATCCTGTTTATCAAATAGGATAAGTTTATGCAATTCCAGGAAGCATCTGCCTAATGACTGGAAAGAAGGTAACAGTGACAGTATCCTCTTCGTGGAAAGTCAGTCTCATAATCCAAAGATCTTTTTCCCATCTATATATATATATATATATATATATATATATACACACACACACACACACACACACACACACACACACATATATATACATATACTTATATGAGAACAAATTATAAATAAATGTAAGTTAAGGCATTAAACAATTATGTCATTACATTAAGTTTTTGTATTTAGTTATTATAGCATTGTATTAAAAGAGCATCACATTATGTTGGTCTCAAAATACAGGCAAAGACAGGTATAGAAGCAATTATATTTCCTTTTGAACTTGACATCAACTTACTTCAAATGTGTAGATACACTTACTAAATAATTTTGTAGACTTTAACCTAAATCTATAAAAGTTAGCAGCCAAATTACTAATTTTCAGTAATATAAAAAATACAAGAAACAAGACAAGATAGGATCATTTTCATAGACTTACTTTCATATATTATTTTGTTAAAATAGGAAATCTTTCAATCAGAAAACAGGCATTTATACGGTATCTATGTCTTGGTTAGAGCTCTCATTTATTATTTTTTGGTCTTTTTCAAAAATCCACTTGAAATGAGTAAGAATGCTTTCTATGCTATAAAACATTTATTGTATGAATATTAAAAAGGAGTTAGTAGCTTTCTCAAACTAACATCAAATATAGTATTAGAAAATTGAATATATAAAGGCTTTTGATAAAGTAAATGGCATAAAATATTTAGTTTTAAGACATTCGTGATACCAATCTCAGAAACCATGAGATGTCACTTAACTTTAAATTAGTTGCAATATATTTAGAATTATTTTATGTGGTCCTATTTAATTGTCTTTATTTCATGCCTTGCATAACATATTAAAAATATTTAAGTAAATATTCTAAGACTTGGCTCCCAACTCTGCTGTCTCACTTGATTCACACAATTTCTTGCTCCAAATAGGCTGGAAATTCAAATAATATCACAGTCTTCTATTTAAAATAACAAACTCTTTGATACCTTTAAATTCTTTATTATAGCCTTTTTTAAAACAAATTTCCAAATACCTCAAGCTCAGAGCTCCTGTACATGTGCTTTACACCTCTATCTGTAACTTATTTTTTCTATGTCTTTCTATGGAACACAAATTTCCATCATTCAAATCTTAATTTTAAAAAGCATTTCTTCAGAAAGTTCCTGTCAGGAACTATGTCTACCACTGTGTCTCCAGACTTCATATTCTTGCCTGACACAAAGTACACATTCATTAGATAATTTTGCATAATTACAATTAGGTGTGAGCACTTGTCTACCAAGGTTGAAGTAACAGGAGCCATCTTCCTGATGCTGGCAATAAGTGTGTGCAGAGTCTTTAAAAAACTTCAAATTTATATTATTTCACTAATAATTCTGAGTACACATTATGTCTCCAAACTTTACAGTGCTTTGGTAGACTTGAAATAAACACAGAAATTGTGAGCATACAGTCAAAGAATAGGCAATGCTTCAATACTCTTATTTGTGACCACTTGAAATTTTAATAATTTTTTATCAATTATCATTTTATTAATGTTTAATATTTAAAATGGTGAAAGGTGCAAAGTATATATATATTTTTAGAAATATGCTAATATAATTAAAAGTTTTTTTGTTTTTTTTTTTTTTGAGACAGAGTCTTGCTCTGTCACCCAGGCTGGAGTGCAGTGGCGCCATCTGGGCTCACTACAAGCTCCGCCTCCCAGGTTCACGCCATTCTCCTGCCTCAGCCTCCCCAGTAGCTGGGACTACAGGCACCCGCCACCATGCCTGGCTAATTTTTGTTGTATCTTTAGTAGAGACAGGGTTTCACCATGTTAGCCAGGATGGTCTCAATCTCCAGACCTCGTGATCCGCCCGCCTCGGCCTTCCAAAGTGCTGGGATTACAGGCATGAGCCACCGCACCCGGCCAATTAAAAGTATTATTTGATAACTTTTTCCATTTGAATAATGAAATTTTTTTTATTTCTTATTTTTACTTAAATCCATCGGCTCTGTTATAAACAGAAAACTCAATAAAAATATTAACGGTTGCATTCTCTTTGTGTTGTTATTAATATTATCCACTTGATTTATTATAACAACAATAATTTTGTTTATAGAGGAGATGGGTGTTAAAAGTCATCTGCTCTCGATGTTGTTATTATTATACCTTGGGAATGACTTCAACGTTTTTCATCTTCATATTACCATTGAATTTAAAAATTTAAAAACTATATAAATCTGTACCATTCAATGAGTTTAATAGAACTTGGAGCCTTAGCTCTCCCTACATTAATCGGTATTCTTCCATTTTTAAATTGTGTGTGCCGCCCTCATGAGAATGAAGGACATATACATAATCTATTGACTGTGACGTGTAAATATAAAACAATTTAATTCTAGGAGACAGTATTACTTAATAAATTGAAAATATGGATGCAGAATATTATGTTGCTTAAAGTAGAAGCTGTCTCACCACATAAACCTGAGTTCAGTTCACCTTTTGCCTTTTTATCAACTAGCTCTGTAACTGTTTAAATCTATTTTTTAATTTTATATATTAGATCTAATATATAATTTTTGCCTCAGTTTTCTCATTTGTTTTAGGGGTATATAAATAGTGTCTACCTCACATGCTTTTTTTGATGATTAAACAACCTCAAGCATATAAAATATTAACCTAAAATGGCCATTAATAAATAATTCACCTAATTTTCATTGCCAGCAATTATGTTATCATTATCAAAATAATTAACAAAAGAAAATAGTTAAGTTCATATATTATAGAGAAACACCACTACCAAACAGCATATATTTATGCAAACAAAAGCAAATTTGTTTAATCATAGTTATGATATTTAGCCTATAATATTTGTGTTTCAACTTGGAACAAAGATGAAGAAGAACAGCACTGATCCACAGATTCATTCCAGTTCAGTGTTATCATTAGACAACTCTGAATTTGTAAGATTTTATTTGTGTATTAAATGTTGGCTATTAAGGAGAATTATACTCATAGAAGCCTAGACTTGTAGGTAGAAAAAGAAAATTCAGATTGGAATATATATTTTAGGAGTTGCTTTCAATAATTAATAACATAAAATGCTTTTATTTTATAAGTAACCAAGATGAACTGAAATGCAATATATAAGGCTATAACCTTTGTTCTTCAGAAGAAGAGAGAAATCTATAGTTTATTCAGAGATTACATTACATTAATTTTTAGCTTAGTGTAGTATTATAGAACACAAAACAAACAGAGTGGTTGCTAGAAGATGGATCTGTAAAATTAGTTTTGGGCTTCATGTAAATTTTGGAAGTATGTACAGAGAATGAAAAAGGCTGTGATCAACTCCTGAACTTAAATATATAAGCTCCCTGGAAATCAGTGTTTGATTTTGTAAAATGAAAATAACACTCTCTTCCAATTCTCTAGAGAGGCTCTAAGCAAGTAAAATATTTTTAACACATTTGGTAAGTTTAGAAGTGAAACAAAAATCTAGTTTTAATATTACCAGATAACACAATAATAAGGAAATTTGAACATCTCTAAATTTACAAACAAGCATAACTTTTTTTCTGAATTCCCTACCGAGATCATCACATTGTACAACAAAATATAACTTTCAGTGGATTTTAAATAGCAAAACTAGCCTCCGCCTGTCATGTTTCTTTCTAAGTGAATAGGTGTCCTGAAGATGGATATTGCTCTAGCAACAGGATAAGTTATAAAACTTTGATGTGTTTCATGCATTTGTTGATAACTGATTAATTTATCCTACCCGGCTCTTGATCCACTCTCTGTAATAAAATGATGTACAATGCTTTGCAGTATAGACAACCACATAAAGACACTATAGAATATCACAGCAGCATCTGCTATTATGAAGCAGAGAGCAGAGATAAAAGCTTTGGTAGCAGGCTTAATAGAAGCTAGCATTTTGTATTTAGCAATGATAAGTAATAATGAAAGAAAAGAAGCAAAAATTGTGTTTTGTAGCATTATTGGCTGTTACTCATAGCCCCTCAGCCAGGGTTACGGGTGTGGGTCATGGAATTCTGGGTTCCTTGGCTGTACTTGGCAAGTAAACTATTTTAACATCTGAATACTTAAAGCTCCACTAGATGCACAAAAATGTCTAAAAGAGGGAGGAACTACTTTTAGGTTAATGCGTTTGTGATTATACATATAAACAGAAATGAACAACTTTACTTTTCTAAACATTATGTGAAATGTATGCTACACCAGCTAAAGTGTTTCATTCTATGCATTAGTAACATTAGATCCATTAAACAGTTTTGCTAAAATAAAAATATATATTTGAGAGGAAAAAGTGAATACAAGGTAGAATAAAACTTAATAGAATGAATTATTTTAAAGTATACTTCAGCGACATTATTCAGATATATCTAACCTAATCATTAACAACTCTACCCGTTTGTATAGGAATATCTAGTTAATAACTTTTAAAAGTGTAAAGGTAATAGTTATGAAGATACTTCTTTATTCATGAAGATAATTGCTCCCTTTTTCAGGCAGAGTTAGTTATCCTTCTGCATGCATTCCATTTTATTCTCTGATTGAAGAAGATGAATCTTTATTTTCATAGATTTGAGCTGTATTTTCTTTTCACTCTCTCTATGTCAGAAATGTATGTACTGTGAAATCAAGTTTTAGCATTCAGTGATTTCTTAACACTTTCATTTAGTGACTAGACACAGAACAAAGATTTGTGTGTTTATTAGTCACTTCTAAAAGTAATTTTGAGTTTAGAGTCTGCCAGGGCAGGATATGAGTCCTAGGTTACATTGTATTTAAAAGAAGATTCACAGTAATATACTTCAGACATCAAGTCTGTGTATGCACAATGTATGGAATTAAATAATATTTGCTCTGTTGTGTGGTAGAAACCACTGCGATGTGTTTTACTTTGGGATTCTCATATTATTTTACTTTTCAAGGAGCTGAGTAACATTTCTAAATGAGTGTTCTTGATAAATCTAAGTGGACTCAGCAGGATGTCTCAAAATATTCCCTCTTGCCCTGCTAGCAAAGCATCCAAAGATATTTTTACTCAGTATGCAGAAGTCCTTATAACCTTCTTCCACTTGAGGGTTCCTTATACTCCCATACAGGGAAGAATCTTGGAATATCTCTCCGACTGTGAGAGTTTTCTGCAGTGAGAAGGCATTTGAGATATATTTAACTCCACAAGCTGTCACACTGTGAATCTATAGGGGAGAGAGACCTGCAGAGGTCTTATTATGAGACTCTTCTAATAGTGTGATAGCAGTGGTAACAGGCAACAAAACCTGATGTCATGGATGGGAGTAAAGCATTACCTTGGATTTCTAATGCCTAATGTTAAAAGACAGGTGTGTTTTTCCATATTTCTTATGGAAATATCTGGCTTATTCTTTTATAATCATATCATATATCCTCCTCACTGAGGAACCTTACATAGCTAGATAACTAATATCATCTCCTTTGTAGATCGAAGGAAGGATCTGAAGTGGGTCAAATTAGATATTTACAAGGAATATTTTTACAGCAACTTCTATTATGAGTGATGCTAATATTCAAGAATTCTAATTTATTTAGCAAATAAATGCATTTTGCACAATTAATTTTCATTATTTTAACAAGGCCTTTTTCATCCTTCTTTCGTCCTGAATCTGCTTCTACTTCCTTATTTTCCTGCTGTTAAATCCCCTGCACAGCCTTGGCAGAAAGACTTATAGATGAAGAAAAAAAAGATACCTGACAAAGATGAGGAAATCAAAAACTTTCAAATGCTCAGTGTTCATCAGCACAGCATATACAATTTTCCAATTTATATGTTAGCAGATTTTCTAATGATATTACATGTTTTATGAACACACCAGGACAAATTCTGTTGGAATTTTAAAATGGAAAATTATAATTTAGTATAATATTTTTATTAGGCTCATTTTCCATAAGTTTTCATTTTAAAATTCCAAAAGGAGCTGCTTTCTAATTGTAGTAGCCACAGAAACACATTTGGAATATTAATCGTAATAAAAAATTTCATTTCTATAAGGAGTGCAATCTCTTTTTTTGAACATGTGGCCTGTTTATCTTAGTTCTTTTCACACTATTAAAGATTCAATATGAGAAGCCATGGGATGGCCCGACTTCATTAACAATGAAACTCAGAAACATGTTACTACAGGATGGCTGGAAATTTCTTTTTATCAATATAGGTATTAAGGTTGACATGTCACCTGTCAATCCTAGCCCCACTTCCCCCACTAGCCTAGAACTCTATAAAAGACAGGAAAACTATAGTTCTGGACGGTTCCAGCCTTGCAATATCCACATTTTGCTAGGCATTTTGAATATATGCCATTTTCTAAGGCATGGCTACCATGACCAATGGACTCAAAGCAGTGATAGCCACCTAAATGAGTTGGTGTTATTCACAGTCATAGGAGACTGAAAGTTCAAGTATGTGATTTAGGTACTGCCAATATCTATATTCCACCCTTCAAGGAAGTTTTATTTCCCTTCTCATGATTATTGTCTCTGTAAAAGTACTATTTATTTTGTCCAAAATTTAAAGAAAACTTTAAGTGCTAGCAATCAAGTTAAGTTCTCTATATATGAAGTGTGTTAGATGTAGAAGACTACATTAATGGTCAGTCAGAACCTGATATGTTTGACCATCCATTCTCAAATACCATTTCAATTTCAATTCAATTCAATGTAATTACAAATGTAAAATTGTAAAGATCATGTTAGGAGAGAGGGAAGGTAATTTCTAAATCTCATTCAATCTATAAACCTCTCTGATTTAATGAAAACTTCTCTGAAAATTAATTTTAGTAGCAGAGGTAGAAAAAGCAGCATGAAAGCACCTACAGTCTGGTAGGTAACTTAGCTTAAGAAATCTAAAAACAAATTTTATACTTCCGAGTTACATTTTAATTAGGTTCTACACCTTCAGTGTTCTCTTTAGGATCTTCAAGGAGGGGAAGAGTTACACTGGTCCTTGATGAGATAATGTCTTTATTTTTCTGTCTTCAGCAACCAGTCTGATGAAGTTGATTTTTATTTTGCAAATAGCAAAGAAAAGTGAATTTTGTAACACATCGTACAGACCAAATGACATGTCTGAATTTTTTTATTAGAAAGCAATGTCATATATTAAGAATAAGATTTTATATAATTGAATATATGTTTCCAAGGATAATAGCAGATAATTTTAATTTTTAAGCCACTAAAACCTGGATACTATTTTTTTTTTCTGTAACTGAAGGGAGCTGCTATAAAATGAGAAAGAAACTACATGCTTTGGAAACTTGGATTTAACAAGGAGTGCTAAAATTCAACCTTGCATTAGTCATTATAATTTTTTGACACTGTCTTAATGTGTGAAGGAAGAATTGAACTCTAGAGCTAGAAAGGGCATCATTAAAAGACAACATTGCCTTTCTGTATGACAGATATTAATATTAGATCATTTGCTTGGCTAGGAGCAGAGCTTATGAGGTGTATGGAGGCCACACAATTTGGTTGAGATTGAAAACCTTTCTTCCTATATTTCTTTCTTCTTCCTCTATGCTTTACTGATGAGTTAAAAGAAATATGACTGAGTATTAATTGGTTTTGCTGCTGTATTCCACACTTGTTACAGAAAAGGTAATCCATTGAAATGCTCGATTCAAATAAGTGCATTCTGTCTCCTATTCTGGAGGCTTTATAAACAAAACATTTTGTTTTATGTTATTCAGAAAATCCAACTTGTATAAAACCTTAGAAATTCCCTTACTTGCAATGTCTTCCTACCACACATACATGCATCAGCCAAACATAACTCAAAACAGCCAGTTATTTTCCTTTAAGAAGAAAGAAGATAGTTTATTTTGCATATTATTTTCACCGTCAAAGCTTAAATTTAATTAAGTCAAGAATTGATATGAGTCTGGTTCAGAATATATGCATGTTTTCCTCTCCAAAGTGCAGTTAAGAATAAAAGAGGGCAAGGGTAGGGAGTAATTTTTAACAGATGTTGATTCATTAGATTGCCTGAGTCACTGAGATACAGGCAGAGATAGATTGCCGTTAAGACTAATGAACCTGGAGCCCAACGGCCTGGGCTCAAAACCTGGCTCTACTACTTATTAGAAATGTGACCTGGCACAACTTACCTACCCTCTCTAGGTGTCAGCTTCCTCTCCTATTAGATAGAAACAATAATAATAGTACCTCTTTCCTACAGTTATTCTGAAAATTAAATGAGCTAATATTTCTATAGCATCTGGTCCTTCACAAT
Source organism: Homo sapiens (assembly GCF_000001405.40). Taxonomy (NCBI): domain Eukaryota; kingdom Metazoa; phylum Chordata; class Mammalia; order Primates; family Hominidae; genus Homo; species Homo sapiens. Next base: position 135,239,388 of record NC_000004.12, read on the forward strand.
GTTTTAAATATAAATAACTGTTCTGTGTTATACAACATATAGTTGAGCTTCTTTTCCTTGTAACTTTTCTAACTTCTGAAAGCATTTGAGTTTGCACGTTCTGATTTAAGTGCTGACTTAAAATGATTTTGACCTTGATGCTAAATAAGGAACCATTCTTGATACTGCTGATATCTGTTTGGAGATAACTCTTCATGTTTCTCTGCCATTTCAGCATATGTTTCCAGAAGAAAAACTGATGGATCTTTATTTTGATCTGTCCTGGCAAGAATATTTTTGTAGTGAGTAGCCTTTGAAGAGAGAAGAAAGGACAGGCACGCTTCCTATCCACCTCAAAAGATTTGGTTTCCTAAGGCTTGGTGCTTCCTAAGTCCTGATCCATCATCTTCTTAATAGATAATAGTGATTACTTGTGTTTACAGCATTTTACTATATATTAGATACTATGGGAAGTGCTTTAAATATCTTTTATTTAAATTTGGCTAACTTGTAATTTAAATATCATCATCACCATCTATTATGTTGCCAAAATGAGGCTTAAAGGAATTAAACAATGTGTTCAAGTCATAAGCTGTGGAGTCTGGGTTGAATGTAAACTGGAGAATATGTTTGATGCAGGACAGAGACTGTAAAACCTAGGATCTCTGATGTCAAATGTAGAACCAACGACTTATAAGAGGCACTGACCTCAGCTATTTATCTGAAAGTAACCAAAAAATACTAAATAATATGCGAATGTTTACTTTTATCTGCATGCTCACTTTATGAATCAGAGACATGCCACTGAATTATCTTTATTCCTGGCCAACTACTTGCTTCCCCCACTCTCCCTGAGAATGGTGGACACCAATCAGGATACTCTAAATGGAGATACCTGCGTTTCAGTTTCTGTGATCCTAGTCTTCAAAAATTAATCATTCATATGTTTAAGTGATTTTACCATTTAATTCCCACTACGTGGGAGCTCAATAAGTAACTGTTGCATCCATTTCTGAATGATATACACCTAAGTCTTCAGTTTCTATTGTTTAGTTTCTTACAATAATTCACTTTATTTTGCATGTGGGGAAGGAGGACTTGAGTTTTTCTGCAAAGGGGGAAATGCTAAAGTTATTTATAAATGAGGAAGCTGTTTGAATTTCCAAAGATTGGCTGCAAAGGAAATTTAGTAGACACTAAAATCTCAGAAGAAAAAATATCAGGCTGCGGGAGAGGGAATGGGACAGCCAGGTGATCTTGAAGTGTTCCTAATGTGTTGCGTGTTGGGTGAATCACTAATTCCCTCTAGGCTTCAGTTTCTCATTCTTGAAATGCTGATAATAATGTCTTATTCATGTAATTGTTCAGTATATTATGTAATATCATATATGTAAGACACCTGAAGTAGTGCCAGACTCCACAGTTTGCATATAACAAATTTAATTTTAAATTTATTATTATTTTTATTATTAAATTCTCATATTCTGTGAACAAAAGTGATGTTATCTTCAATTTGCAAAGAATAAAATTCAGACTCACAAGATTAAGTAACTTGCCTAAAGTAGAACAGCTGGTACGTGGTGGAGCTGAGATTCAAAGCAAGGCAGCTCACAGTGATTGCATAATGTAACCCTCCTAGAAAGCTCACAGTTGCCTTGGAGTGTGAGGCCGTGATGCTTTCCAACAATGTGTTGCTTGGTGATTACTCTGGCACTCAAGAGTATATTTCACAAACGTAGACTACCTTCGATGCATTGTTGTTTATTTCATTGTTATTTAAGCAATATATGTTAAATCAGTTTTGATATTTTTCCTTGGTATTTTTGGAAAATATAAAAAGCAATTTATGAGAAGAGGTCGTTTTACTCCATGTTTATCACTGCTCTGGTATGATCATTATATCTTTTCTTAACAACTGTAGAAACTACATAATTAAATATTAATTTGAATTTCCTTGTGAATATAATTCAATGGTTATGACAAACCACAGTTCCCTAGTGTAAATCTGCTCAAGTCAGAATTTTGCCACAGAAAATTATGACTGATTAGCCATAATTTCCTCTAAAATAAATTGTAATGGCTATTTATTTAGGTTCTGTATTACAAATGCTGATTTATAAGGATACATATCTAAGTGATCCAAATTAAGTGTAAGATACATACATGCAGTTACTACTAACCTCTAAAGTCTAATTTTGAATTAATGGCTTTCAGACACACTGTTACGTATGCCTGAGGCATAACACGTGAATATATTCTATGATTTCCTCTCTCCTAACCATTGAGCTTGCCGTTCTTTCTAATTCCTTAGCCAGCTCTCTCACATTTAACTCCCCAAACCAAGCCCTGAATTAAATTACACATTCTCTGTATATAGAGTTAGCTTTCCTCTATCACAGGCAATCAGGTAAAAACAAAACGGATAAAAAACAAAACATCGTAAATGAAAGAATAATGTTTCTTTATTAACATAATTAAAATATACTTAAAATTTCATAGTAATGTGTAGTCAGTATATGCAATATGGATATGCATATGTCATATGAAACATCTACTAACTAGTCAATCAAGGCTTCAATTAGATATGGTTTATTCACACACACACACACACACACACACACACACAGACACACACACTGCAAAGGAAGCAAGGATTTTGTAGATAATTGAAAATTAATAATAATTTCAAATTAACTGAGATTTCATTTTGTAATGCCTTGGAGGATTTTAGCATCTCTAATTATTTTTTCTTGTTGGCTATGGTTTTTACTAGGCTCAGGAACGAAGGGGACTGATTACTTGTGGATCAGTTTTCCATTTGCGCCTGCCTGAATGGAAAATTATTTGCCAGATTTACTTACATACTTTACTAATAATTTTTCTGCTTCAGTTATATCAAATCAATTTTGAATTCCTGAAAACAGTGGAAGGCAGGAAAAGGCAAACCAGCAAAATAAACTTGAAAATATGCCATATAGGAATGTCTCATTTCATTAATTTAATAAGCAGCTTCTAATACTTAGTAGGCTAACTGATACATCACAGGTGCTTTATAAATGATTATAGGAAAATGATCATTGCTCCAGGTAGAAATATTGACAGTTTTTATTTTGTAGTCCCTAGCATTTTATTCTTCTTAAAATGATAAATATATTTTGATTGGTACTAAACTTGGAAACTTACAATCACCACAATATATCTATCATTTACTGAATGTGTAGTATATGTCAGGCACTAAGCTAAGCACCTTACAGTATTATCTTATTAAATTAAATCCTTGCATTGCATAGTCTGACAATTCTGATTCAAGAGATGAAAGGATATTTCTTCTCTGAGAAAACATCAAATGGCGGATGGTCCCAGTGCAAGAGACAGAGAGAGAGAGAGAGAGAGAGAGATGGATGAAGGGACAAAGAAAAAAGGAGATATGGAGATTACACTGCTTTTCCAAAGTTAAATAATTAGTAAATGTGAAGCCGCCATTAAAACCCAAACATTGCTACCCTACTACCATTATCACTTCTGGGAATTTCACTCTTATTCACCAGGCTACACAGCTTCTATTCAGTAAAGCAAATAGGAGTTCTCTTCAGCAAATTTTTCACTGAATTTCTGGGAAATAGTTGTGATGTAAAGAGCAATGAGTGACTTTTTCCTCTTGCCAGGCATTCAACTTTTGGCAATCCATGAAAATTTGGAATTCACAGTGCTTCAATAAAGTGGAGATATTGTCTCACAGAGTCATAAAGGTTTAACAGTAGAGATGTTATATGATCAACAACTTCTTCAATTTTAGCTTTATTTTTAGCTCATCATTAGCAAAATTGTTAGCAAATTACACTGTGTGATACAAAAAGGCTGACAGTCTCTGCTAAAATTTATTATCATGAAACCCTAATAATCCTGCAATATTCTCTGATAATTCAAATACATTTCTCACTGCTACTCCCTCTCTGAATTTTTGTCACCATTTTAAGCCCTTTTTCTTCTCCTAAAAAGTCCAGCCCCTTTTCTTCTCCATCATACATAACTGACAATTCTGTTTCCTGCTTTGGATAAAAAAAAAAAAATTAGAGCTAACTAAGAAAAATGTCTTCTAGGATTAAAGATACAAACCTACTTATATATCTACATCTATCTTCACTCTCTTCCTTTCTGATATACCACAAAGAAGCTCTGCCTGTTCTTGTCTAAATCAAATCTACCCAGACCTTCCCACATTCAGTGAAATGTTGAAAAATTGAAACCTCTCTCTCAGATATTCAATCTCTCAATTGGTTAATTTGTACTGACTATTTTCCTTTTCTTTCTTTCTTTCTTTCTTTTTTTTTTTTTTTTTTTTTTTTTTGAGACCGAGTCTTGCTCTGTCACCAGGCTGGAAAGCAGTGGCGTGATCTCGGCTCACTGCAACCTCTGCCTCCCGGGTTCAAGCGATTCTCCTGCCTCAGCCTCCCAAGTAGCTGGGAATACAGGCGCGTGCCACCATACCCGGCTAATTTTTGTGTTTTTAGTAGAGACGGGGTTTCACCATGTTGGCCAGGATGGTCTTGATCTCCTGGCCTCGTGATCCACCCGCCTTGGCCTCCCAAAGTCCTGGGATTACGGGCGTGAGCCACTGCGCCTGACCCATTTGTATTGATTTTTAAACGCTGTGGCTGACTGTAATGTTAGCACTCTACCAATGAATCATGCCTCTGAATAGGATAGCTAAACTCTTTTCTAGTCTTCTGTCATTGGCTTTGGGCTTAAACAAGTGATTTGTTTTGGTCAGTGGTCCATTAGCAAGCATGAGACAAGCAGATGGCTTGGTAAGCACTTGCACATTTGAACTGTTTGTTTTTGAAATCTCCTTCTTGGAATCCAGCTGTTAAACCATAAGGAAATCAGAGTTAAATCCTATGGTAAGCCAGAAGTCAGGAGGAGGAGTACTGAAAAACCAGGTTCATGAAGTAAAACCTTCTGGGACCTTTCAGCTGGGCCCAATTAGCAACAGATTATAACTGTGAATGACTCCACTGATTTATCATGTGGAGCACATAAATTACTCAGCCAAATCTTGTCCAGTTTATAGACCCATAGACACGTGAAAAGTAAATCATTGCTGTTTTAATACACTTTATCTTGAGGTGGCTACTTATGTAGCAATAAATAGCTAAAGCAAACATGCTAAAATGTTTCCTATTAGAAGAAACCTAAAAATATAACAGAAAACCAAACATTGACAACATAAAACCTGGTATCAAATTTCATATTTTTTCCAATGACTGTATACATATGTATATATAATATATATCTTACATATACATGACAATATATACATACAAGGAATATATAGAATATGGAATATATATAATATATGGAAGACATATGTATATATAATGTATATTCCATTGCAAAACATTCTCAAAACAGTTTTCATCACACATTCTATTTCACAATCACAAATTCCATCTTCAGTCCACGTAGATTTATATGTCTTCTGCCCTTGTCCCTCTAAGAACACAGCTCTACTGAAAGAATATTAATGACTCTTTTCTGTTAAACCTTATATTTCTGTTCTCACTTTAAATGATCTCTTAATAGAACTAAGGAATTTTACAAAATTCCTCCGTGAAATACTTCCTTCATTCCAAACATTCTTTCTGATTTTACTCCTTACACATCCCATTCTTTCTTTCTAATTTTACTTCTTACATATTTTTGAATCATCTACTTTATTCATGACCACAACTCAAAGTGATTTATATGATTCATTTTTAATGAATATTTAGTATACTACTGGTGCTTACTTCTACCAATTTTGCTTGATCTATTAAATGTAAAATTATTTTTTGGCATTGAAAATCTAAAGAGGGTAAAGAAGAACAAATACATGGTGAAGTATATGCTTCTGATATTGGACGAGATGCCTTACAGAAGATAAAGTTAAGATTCTAATTTTAACAAATGTTTTAGAATATAGCATATATTTTTAGCATGTCAAGTAATAGATTATCTATGTTGAGTGTCACCTCTTAAACTTTTCCTTCATGCCTATCACATAATGAAGTTGCTAAAATGGAATTGAGGCCCAGCTTTCTAAAGTGATAAAGGCAATTTCCTCAAAAGTGAATATTTGAAAGAGAAATTCCTTTCTTATATGAACCTGCATCCTTGACAATCGATCTGCATATGAAGTGAAAACTCAGGCTTCCCAACTAATTGATATTTTTTTCTTATAGCCACAGTATGAGTTTACATAATTACAACCCTATAGTACTCCTTATCTGACTTGTTTTCTCACAACTATGTGTATTTCTAGCTTTGGAATAACTTTAAAACTATCTGATCATAAAACAATTCATTGTTGACAGATAGTTATTTGACCTTCTGTTTTTGCAGGTAGTCAGATATACCAATTGCAAAATACGGTTTTAAAATTGTCCTTTTCTAAGCTTGGCAGCAATGTGAATTCTCATTAAATTTGTTTGTAATATTTATGACAGAATGCATGCATGAGAAAACCTTTTGTGAATGCTATGTATATATTGAAGTCTACAAGAAAACCTGTAACTTTGGATGTAAATATAGCTGAGAATACTAAGAAACCGTCTTCTGACAGTAAATCTATGCTAAGTCTGCAGACTCTACTTTAAATTACATAGAAACTGACATGCTTATTCCTGACATAGTCATCAGACCATGATTAATATATATTTTACATTTCATCATGTGAGAAAAAGATGGGATTGTGGTTGAGCCTCAATTTCTCTTTTGTATGTTAGTTGCAAAAAAACAAATAAAGATAGAAAAGCTCTGGGCTCTTAATGGGTATTCTTCGAGATGAATCATAAGTTATACATACTTAATAGAAATCACTAAATCTAAAATTTCACTGCAAAAATAATTTATATTTTTTCATATATAAATCATCAACAAAATAAATCCTCTCTCTTTTTTTTTTTCACAGAAAGACTCTGGCTCTTGTATTAGGGTTCTATTGGTATATAGATGGCACTTAAAGGATTTAGCAGGTATTTAGTGCCAGATGGCACTAGAAATAACCATATTTGTGATTTTCATAGCTCCAGACAGCAAGCTTTTAGAGAATTTTCAAAATGTTTACTAGTAGTAATAACAATATTTTTAAAGACACTTACCAACTGCTGCCTTTAATTTCCCAATTTTTTATTGAAAAGTAGTTTTCATGACTTCAATAATTTTTAATGCTTCTCAAATATCTTGACGCATAATTATTTTGCATATATACATATGCACTTTTAAGAAAATGTACACATTGTATTTCTCCATTTATTTTTTAATGCTTATTACAAAATGGGATAAAAGCAAATTTTTGTTGAATTAACTAAAGGAAAATAATATAAAAATCTAACAATGGTAGGAGGAATTACCATACAGTGGAGAAACTTAACAATGTATGGTGAACATTTTAGATGGTGTGCATCTATGGATACACACACATTCACAGATATTGCAAAATCTGAGTTTCACTACAGAGGTTAATATTCTGTTTATCAGGAACTTTGAGAGGGTCGGATTCAGTTGTTGAATTTATCAATAGTATAAATATCTCCATGCTAGGAATCTGATTAGTCTATCCACTAATGCTGGATTATTCTTTTTAGAATAGAGACACATCATTATCACCCATATAGATATAAATGATACTTTACTAATTTTCAGTTTGGACTATAACACCAAAGAGATTTAAAGACAAATTCTCTGGAAAGTGAATGATTTCTCTATAGGTAAATTATAGGTAGTAGAAATCAAATTTTCACTGTCAGTTTATAAATATGAACTCTGAGGCAGGAGAATGGCGTGAACCCGGGAGGCGGAGCTTGCAGTGAGCCGAGATTGTGCCACTGCACTCCAGCCTGGGCGACAGAGCGAGACTCCGTCTCAAAAAAATAAAAAAAACTCAAAACTCAAAATATGGGAGTTCTACCTTTGCCACCAAACTTACTCTGACTTGAAATCAAAGTCAATTTTGAGAAGATTTTGACTGCTTTTAATGTGATCTATGCTCATCACGATTTTCATAGTTTAATTTTCAGAAGACAGATTCATTTGTAAATACACGGTGGGGAAAGGGATCTCAGTGAAGTTCCAGCAATCCTAGATCCTCGTTGTCTATACTTAATACATACCTGGTATGTAATATACTTTTTGTTAAATGGTTAAAAAAATAAATATGTGAATAGAAAGTGTTTTTCTTATGTAATTATATATTTATCGGAAAATATTCTCAATGTCCTACATCTCCATTTTTTCTAATTTTAAAAATGTACCTGTCCAGCAAACCTGAAGTTTGTTGCTCTAACTTAAACTTTGGTCCTTATATTCATGTACCAGCTTGGCCTCTTATATTTGATAAAAAGCAAATATGCCTATATAAATTTAAGTTCATCAATTATTTGAATGCTATGGAAACATTTAGTTCCCTGAAAAGCAAAAACCCAAAAGACCAAACTGGGTGTTTTGCAAAATTTGGCATTACAATTAATCAAAGGCAGCTTGCTTTGCAAATATATAAGCACGAATAGAAATGAGAAGTAATCATAAGTTACTCAGTAATTAAATGCATATTTGCTTCAATTCAAAAGTTAAGATTGTATAACATTTTTATACAGTATTCCTATACAAGCTCATTTTTAATAAGATTTTATTGTGTAATGTAATTATCACAAGGACTCTGAGTTAAATCTTATCATAATTTTTCACATATACAAAAGTGACTTAATCTTTCTCCCTCTACCCCTCATTTCCTCAGCTTCCTGAAGTTTTTGTATTGATTAAAGAACAATCCTAACCATTGCCATTATAAACATCTTAAAAAGGCAGATCATTATAGGTAATATTTTGGTGTGCAAAAGAAAGTTACAGTAAAAATTTTACATTACATAATGGCTCACTTCAGTTTTAATGTTCTGCATGCTACACAAGCAGATAGACCATTTGTGTGCTTACGTATTACATGAGTAGTGATTTAGCAGAAGGTAAACTTGAAGCAAGTTTAATTACCTAAGCAGATTGTCTTATTTAGTTTTCTCTCTCCAACTTAATAAATTAATGTAAAACTTATATATGGAAAATGTGATAAATTGTAAGATCAATAATCATTAACACAGTAAAATGAATGCTGTGCTATACAAATATATCTTAAAACAGTAGTTATTCTTGCCACAAACTGTCTGTACAATGGGCAGATTGCAGAGAGTGCTGAAAGTCTTATTCTAGAAGATCAGTTCTTAGAAATGTCATGAAGGAACTATGAAAATGCACTTCTGTAATTGTTTCTATCTTATGCGCCTCTGTAAGACCACTGAATTACTAGAATAAACCAGTTTCCTTACCATTTCAGAGGGCTAATTCTTTGTTCATTGTCATCCTGAAAGAAGAAAGAAAAGTTTTAATACATTAAAGCTCTTCGTTTTACTGTTCAGTTTTTTAGTTAATTTAATGTCCTAAGAATTCACACAGGGGCTTTGGCAGTGGTTGTGGCATTAAACTGCATTTTAAGTGCCTGTGTAAGATGCAACAACATCATTACCTTGAATGAAAGTTCAAGAAGAACACTCTGTTGGGAGTATTATAGTATCTGACATGAAGAAAATAATTCATGAGTACTCTTCATAAAATTAGCTTTATTTCTCCATTCTAGAATAAATGATAGGGCATTCGAAAGAATACATCCTAAATCAGTAGCAAGCTGCCCCTCCTAAATCTCAATAACTGTCTGGGGTAATCTTCGACAGCTGGGTGCTATTAGGATTTGTTCTAATGGTGACAATGTGGAATACGCTAACATGGGGCTTATTGCCACTTATCCAGCAGGGGCATGAAATGAGGTGACATGGTAATGAGTTGATACAAATGACTTTTGTAACTTTCACACTGCTACCAGGCTGAGGCAGGCAATCAGAGGGAAACTATTGTCTGCCTTTCGTGACGGTTTTAATGTGTTCCATTTGATTTAATGCTGCTGGTAGGCAAAATGTGAAAGGAAAGTAGGTCACTGCTTCTTTGCTTTGCTCAGATAACAGGGAATACTTACCTGGTTTATCCTAAGAGTTATATTTATTCTCGCTAATGACAAAGAGATATATTTTGAGCTAGGATTTATGCCATTCATTGTATATAAAGTTATCAAATATTGCTCTGGGTAATTATTAAGTGAGGATAAGATACAATCTTTTTAGAAGTTATTGAAATTTATTAATGTACAAATAAATTTAGCTACTTCCATATTCATTTAGAATAAAGAGCTGTCATATAGATAATTAGCATTACAAGTTGGAATTTCTTGAGCTTAAAGAGTCTGAAATAATTTTTGAACATAGGTAACTGTCAGCCTTTTTGTAAGTACACTATTATTACAAATAAACTTCTGTTTGCTGAAATGTTAACTACAGAAAATGAAAGGAATATTTTTGCAAAGGCTTTTAATAAAAACTTAGAGTAATTAAACTCATAAATGTATAAAATGCTGACCTCACTAGTTAAATATGTCACATTTGGTGGCCTAATTTTCTCTGTGCTTGCAGCTCTTATTAACTTTTATTATACATGTTATTCTATATGATACTAAGTAAAAAAATCAATGCATTGGTTTAGATGCTTTTATATGGGCAAATAGTGTATTACAAAAAGGGAACACTTACACTGTGTAATTATTTTGTGTGTGTCTGTTACTCCAGAATTATAGCAACTTGAAACATTTTAGGAAAATTGCTTTAAATCATAGCCTTCATAATACTGGTAATTTTGAATGCATGGAATCATAATTAATATAATGTGGGATTTAAATTATTTGTGTAACTATTTTTTTTTCATTCTTCCTAGTACAGAAAATGCAAGTCATTGTGAAATTAACTAAATAGAGGTTGGATGCTCATTTGTGGAGGTAAAACCAATTCCTGCTATGTGCATTAGAAGTTAAAGGCACTGGATAAGCTAGCTTCTATATCTATGCCCTCCATGGGAGGCAGAGCATCAAATCAAGCTCAGCCTGGGACACATTGGGGACAGAACTGCAGCTGCTGCCCAGAAACTTCCCTGTCCCGTTGTTCTCCTGTGGAGAAATTATATTTTCTTAAAAAGGAGTTTTAGCTATTTACCCTCCAGTGGTTAGCTTCTTAGGGACAGCCAGGTTTTTGCATTCATCATAATGAGAAAGACTTTTGTTTGATATAGCAGCCTAGCTGGAGACAGAGGTAGGGATGTTCAATCCCCTTCACTTTTGTGTAAAGAACAATTGCAGCACCTTTCTTGTTAAAATGGAAAAGGATAATTTCCTGTATAGTAAAATTTAGGAAGATAACTCAATTCCAGCTTAATGAGTTTCTACAAAACATACGAGTAAAAAGCAACATATAAAATAATGAAGACATTCAAATGTGCGTTATGTAAACATAAAGCTCTGATACCAGGCTTTGGAAGTTAAGAGAGAGCCTGTTCTAAAAAAAATCTGTTATTGTAACTATTTCAATTTAACCTCATGCTTTTCGGTGAGTTTGAGCACTATATGAAATGGTTGAAGAGATTTTATTAAAAATTTGAGGGTGTGTGATAGATGATTTGATTAAGAACACAGACTATTAAGCATATAAAATTTTCACTTGGGCAGAAGAGGGGAAGGAATGTTGTGTGATATTCCTGATATAGGATGTCATCCTTCAAGGAAAGTTTTACAACACACCAGATGCATTCTGTTTCAATCAGAACAAACAACTTCAAAAATAAAATGAGATAAAATAGATAAGAATATGAAAGAGAAGTAGATAAAACGAGACTATATGTAACTAACCTGCAAGTTGTGCACATGTACCCTAAAACTTAAAGTATAATAAAAAAAAATTACTAAGCAGCCATAAAAAGTGATGAGTTCACGTCCTTTGTAGGGACATGGATGAAATTGGAAATCATCATTCTCAGTAAACTATCGCAAGAACAAAAAACCAAACACCCATATTCTCACTCATAGGTGGGAATTGAACAATGAGATCACATGGACACAGGAAGGGGAATATCACACTCTGGGGACTGTGGTGGGGTTGGGGGAGGGGGGAGGGATAGCATTGGGAGATATACCTAATGCTAGATGACGAGTTAGTGGGTGCAGTGCACCAGCATGGCACATGTATACATATGTAACTAACCTGCACAATGTGCACATGTACCCTAAAACTTAAAGTATAATAAAAAAATCAAAGTATATCACAGGTTGCAAAATTAATTTTATTTCCTATGCTTGTGCTTAAATTATGTGTGTCTACGTGTGTGCATGTGTGGTGTTTTTCATAGTTATAATACATATTTTTTTTCCTGTGGGTTGTGGTAAAAAAGAGTTTGCAAATTTTGGCTCCAGAGTAGCAGAAAGTGAAATATAACAAGTAGCATGTGTATATGTTATAATGCCATAGGTGGAAAAAACAAATTCTAGTTTAAATTCCTGCCCCAAACTGAAAGTCAGAAGGCCAGATGTTCTATACAGCTGAGCTTGACCCACAATCCAGCTGCTGCTTCACCAGAAGATCTACTCGGTGTGCTGCAAAGTGAATAGCCATAGAGATTCACTCATTTTTCCATGGGTAATTACTCCCCTGGGCAATGCAGTGGGAATCAGGTAGGATGAAATATAATTTTCCTTTCTTTCTTAATACAATGTATATTTATGAAATACCGCTCTGGACTTAGGGCTTATGTAGGTAGTAAAAGAGTAAATATTATGTATTAATCATTCATAAGTTCTTTAAAAATTTACAATATAAAAGGGGGATATTTTTTGAACAACAGAATTTTAAAAACATATATTAAGATAGGGTCCATATCTTTAAAGAAGTCATGATGTACAAATAAAAATAAATAATAAATATGAAAACTATAATACTATGTGCTAAATATAAACACAGCATGTTTAAAAGCAAGTAGAAGGAGATACCTGAAAGGAATAAATCAGAGAAGCATTTTAAAGTACCATTTGCAATAAATACTATAAAATTATCGGAATTTGTATGATGAGATAAAATAAGAAAAAAATTGTGAAAACTGGAAATGGTATATTCATTGAGGTATGAACGTATTTTGGGAAGCCTAGTAAATTGTGTAATTCAACTAGTAATTGTATATGTGAATATATGATCATTATATGTTATGTAATATATCACACATTATTGATTATCCTATATTATGTACTATAAAATATTGCAGTTACATATCACTAAAATCTTTTCAAAATTATGGCAATTTTCAATTAGTTTATTTAACAATTTATTATTGTGTGTCAGTTATTGTCCAGAGCACTTTTCATATAATAATCTTCAGCAACATTTCCCCCATTTTATAGATGAAAAAACGGGCCCAGAGCACGTAAATAACTTGCCCTATGCCATCCAAGTAGTGAGCTGAAAGCTTAGCCCTGTGTGTGTAATCCAATCACGCTTACTATTTTGTTTGTATATGTAATCTGACCTAATTATTTTTATCATATATTTTCTATCCTTTAATTTGTGCATAACTACACTTGCAACTAGTTATGTAAGCAGAGACATTAGTGACATATTTCTGTCATCTTCAAAAGTAGGTATGTGCCCAAGGAGCAGTGGAAATACACGCTATTCTGAATAAACTTACTTTCCTGAAGTTTATTTTCCACAAGGAAACATTGGGTGCAGAGTAAATTTGATTGTGCATCAGACAAGTAGGTACAACATTTTGAAGACTATGAAACAGTTTAATAACCAACACATACACTAAACTTTTCAAAAGGTAGAGTTGTAATTTAATTTTATTCATAGCTGTCAAGTACTAAAGGCCACAAATAAGACAATAAATTCAAAAGAATATTAAAAATTAGATACCTTAAATAGAGTACCAGGCAGATGCTTGTAAGATTAATAACAAGTTATTAAATTTCTGTGGAACATCACAATAGAGAAACAATGGTTCTAAATATAATAGTATTTTGCTTATTATTAACTTATGAACCATTTTGTGGGCATTTTGATGTAAGTAACTGAGCACAAAATTTTCATGCTTCTAATTTCTTCTTTTGTTGTTCAATATTAAAATTTTTCCACTCCCTTTTTTCTGTTGTACACTAGTAAGTACTTTATCCATCTTTCTTTTTCTTCCCTTGATCCTTAACATAAGTGCATTCACTATTTTGTCATATGTAAAAATGGAGTATAAGGAAATTCATATACTCTTTTAATATATTTGTATTATGCCACTTGTATCATGTTTCAACTCTTAATTTTTTCCCAGTTTCTACCTTCTTTTACGCACAAAAGGGATCAAACATCATCCCTTATGCTCATGTTCTTCTGTCTATGATGCTGAAATCCACAAGGCTATGGGAAAAACATATTCCCTTTTAATTGAGCATCCACATTTCCTTGTGAAATCAGTTTGTAAGATGACAAGACCTTTCAAGCCATTTCTATGTATACTTTTCAAGTCTTTAATGAAATCATGTATTTTGCTTATCAATGCTACAGCTTTCTGTCATTTCTAAGTACAATAAAAATGTCGTGAGAATGCTTTTATTCATTAGTAGATCAGAACACAGAAAGTATGGAAGTAGATTCTTAAAATACCCAGAATATCCCCAGAAAGTAACATATGTTTTGGAAGATTGCATCACAATTTCAGGACTCTTTAATTTACAAAATTTAAGCATGAGGTATTGAACTTCCTATAATAACTTCTGTCACTGTGCCAACAGACGAATCAGAATAGATGGGATATAGTTAAAGGTTAATGTTTGCATGCCAGCCAGGTCACAAATAAATGTTTCATTTCTTTGGGAATCCCAACTTTCATTGCTATAAATAATTAATTTTGAGAACTAGATAATGGTTGTTAAAGGTCATAAAAGAAACAAATTTTTAAGCATGCCTTTTAGTAGAACAGTGCAAATGACTTAGAAATGAAGCAAGTACCCAAATAGCAGTTCTATACCAACAATTAAACTGAAGGGTGGTGATGAAAGATAGCTTTTTTTGATCTGTTGTTAGCATACTGAGAGTCCAAAAATATTTCACAGGGAGTTTGACTTTCATTTATTATTTATTTTATTCTTGTGGCTTCTTATGTGTAAAGTCTTTCCAAGGACTTCGTATTGCATGTTCATTTTCATCTTTGTTCCTTACTCTTGGACTTCTGTCTCCCTCCTTTTGTGATAACTGTACATCAAAATCTTTTCATAGGCTACATAGTATGTATTGCTACTATGTTGACATGGGCTCTACTCTACTTCCAGAAAGAAAAGAAAAAAAAGCAGTTAACTAAACATTAAAATATGCACAGTAAGGACATATTAGAAGAAAAGAATGTTGCTTTTTTGTCTGCTTGCTCTTTTCAACTCAGACATAGATGCTATGTATATGACAATTGTTTTATGAAATAAAATTCTTTGTTTGGTTTTCCAAATCCAGAAGGGGTGATATGAATTAAATTTTTAGGCAAAGTAGTTATAAGACTGGTTACAAAAGCTATAACTGTTTAGACAGGAGACTGTCTAGAATAGGGAAGACTAAATAGTACAGTTTTAACTGTAATATTTCACAAATATTAATATGCACTTATCATTGACTATTATTTTTAATTTCCAAATTTGAAACCACTGTCAATTTTCTAACTTTGTATCGTATCATTTTATTCTAGCTCCCATGGATTTGTAACTAAGAGCATGCTATTTATAAAAGTTTAAATTAAGTGGGCCTGGTGCATTTTCCCAAAATTTGAGCTGTCATACATTCACAAAACGATAATTTGCCCCCAATCAAAAACATCTCTGGTTAGAGAAAAGTTGGTGGTCCTACACTTTAAAACTTAATTTGTACAAAGTTGTCTACCTCTGTCACGCTGATAGCATGTCACTGAATTAAACATTTCAGTTAGAACTTTTGTGCTCAGGTCGCCAGATTAATGACTTCTAAAGAGCAGGAGGCATATTTGGACCTCAGATGGCAAGTAATTTGTAAGAAAGCTAGCTCAACTTTAGAAATAGCGAATCCGTTTTCTCAGTTCTTAGCAAAATGACCTTTATTTCCTTTTTTCCATGAAGTCATGAAATGAAATTGTATATTTGACAAATAAATTTTATTTACTAAGTAATACTGCATTTCCTAAGTTTATTCATTTGACATATTCATTCGACGTACACAAAACAGCGAGTTAGGTGTTCAGCTGGAAACAACAAAAGATCAACAGTGGCTTAAACAATTAAATTGCTTATTTGTCTCACATAATAAACATTGCTAGACATGGACAGTGTGGGGATGAAATGGTGGCTCAGTGACACGGTAATGTCTTCGCTTTTAGTTCAACTCAATAGTATTTTTATTTTAAATGGTTATTGTTGAAAAAGAGTGAAAATTCAAGAAGACTTTCACAAGTCTAATGAAGACTCATTCCAATACAATATCACTGTATCTTATACAACAACATATTTATTCCTTATGATTGCTTTCTATATCTTCATTGTTGCTCCTGAATGCCACAGAATGCCTATTCTAAGACCAGAAAAGGGTTAAACATAATTAAAAGTTGACTTACCTGACCTTACTCAGCCTTATAGCCATCGATTTTTCAAAAGATGCTATTATGTGGCTTTAAGGAGGCTTTTCCAATTTCTCTTCTCTTTAATAACTGAACTATCCCAATATACCTAGGAGTTCAATGATTCATTTAAAAAAAAATAAAATAAGTAATTTTAAAGAAATTCAAATAAATAAATAATAAATAATAAAAATATACATATATTGTTTGTATTAATGTGTTTTAACATAAATGAGAACAGAATATTTATACAAAAAGTTGATAACTTGCATATTTCATTCTTTTAAAATTATCCAGTCATCCATGGTATGAGTGCTATGCATTACTGTGGTTAATTCTCTTTCATTCTTAGACTGTGGGAAAACTGTACTTCCTAGCCTCTGGAAGTAAGGTGTGACCAAGTGGCTATCAGCAGTAAATTTCAAGCAAAGGAAACTTGCACTACTTATGGCTAGAGCATTTAATTGTTTGTGCAAGATCCTCTATCTCTGCTCATGCAACAGAGATCCTGGAAGCACATGGTGACAAAAAGCCTATCATTTTGAGTTCCTTAGTACAACAAACAAAGTGCTTGCCTATTCACACTCTCCCCCCAATCCCCCACACCAAAAGGCCACCAAGCTGCATCAGCCTCTGTCTGCTGTACCTTGTGTCCTCTGGAATAGCAGCAAGATACTTAACTCTTGTTTGTTCTCAGTGGTCCCAGGCATCAAGAGTATGCTGGGACTCATCAGAGTTCTGAGACAGGCAAAATAGAAACTGATCTCTCTATACCTAGGCATATCATATTCAAAAAATAATTCTTTTAAAGATAATTTTCACTCATTTCTGTATGTGTTTGATAAACTAGCTGAGGCTGATTGAGTATCAGATTTTCCTGGAACACTGTGTACCTTTTGACTTATAGAATGATATTTGCTATTATTCTGAAAAAATTCTCTTTTATTGTATATTTTTTGTTTTCTTCTCCATGCATCTATTCTTTAGCTACAGGGACATAGATTACTACTTTTGATTATTTATCATTCATTAGATTTTTTTTTTCCTTTAGCACACACCTTCTGCTAATTTTTAAATCTTTATGCAATGACACTATTTTCTCTAGCATCAATTTTAATTTATATTGAAACTAAGCCTTATTTATCACATGATTTAATAGGATTTCTATCATAAGTGTTCTGACATGTTCCAGATCTTATCTTCTGCTATCTTATTTTTTATTGATTTCTTGTATTTCAACTTGAGCTTTTTCAAATAGCCCATTAAATATTGCTGGGAATTTTAAAGCCAAACTTAATTGTTAGCATGTTAGTATCATAACTATTTACTTGTATGAAGATTACTGACATATTTTTAGTTAATCTATTGTCCTGTTTTGTTTTCTGTTTTCCATTGGAACATGCAGAAAAATGGTCTCTGTCTCTCTACTGCATTCCAAAGATAAGTATAATTGTATTGAATTAGCAGAAGCTACATCCTATAAGAATCCTGGCTGTGATTGGGTAATAGAACTTTTAAGGAAGTCAAATACCACACATATATACATTTACATTTTTCTAAGAAAATGTAAAGTTAATGATGAACTTTATCCTCCTTCTCATTAAGGCAGTTAACTTCAAACAGGAAAATTTACTTCTAAATGTCTCCTATTCTAACATACATGATCTAGTTAAGCAGAATTTTCTTTCTGCTCTGCCTGAGGATGTTATAGTCAATATTTACTGTTACCACCATGATATAATGATTGCCTCTTGCTTCACTACACTCTGATTGAGCTTGGTTTCATTCTAATTATGTAGTATATATTTTTCCTTCACTCAGGATCTAGAAGTAGTAAACTCACTTGGATTTTTATGATCTGAAGGCATTTTTATTGTACAATCGCACTTCAAAGATAGTTAAGTCAGTGTACCTGTCTGGCTTGGGAGATATATTTTCTAATGAGTTAACTATATTATTCAACTTGCTACTGGGTCTATTATTTCTAATATTAATTCAGCTATTTATCATCATTTCATACTAAAGAATCTCCCCACCATGTTATGTTTAATATTTTTGTCTTTGAATTTTTTACATTTATGACTAATATTTGATAGAAGTATATACATTTATGTAGTTGTATAGACATAAACGTTTACCAGGGACTCAGTATCTTCATTCAGGCTTAGAATTCATACTTTCCTTCACTCCTGGGATATTCTTAGCAATTTTTCCTTTAAATATTGACTCTCTTAGTCCCTCTAGTGTTTTTCTCCTGATGTCCTAGAAAGGCATAAATTAGATATTCTCAAGCTAGCCTTTCAAGCTAGCCTTCATTCTTCATTTCTTTTTCATACATTCATCTGAATATCTCTATGAGCTCTATTATAAATGATTCCCTCAAATGTTTTCCAACTCATTAATTTCCTCTTGACTATTGTTTAACCTATTTATTATTAATTTCTATGACCATTATTTCTTATTTACAGAATTTATATTTAATTATTTTTAATACCTTGTTTTCTCTCATAATATCTTCTTTTTCCCTTGCTTCTTTTTTTCCCCACTCAGCGAACATTGTAAACATATGTATTTTAAAGATACTTGAATACTGTGTTATATCTGTGATATCTATATCTATATATATATCTATATATCTATATATATATTGAATCTTCAATATTGCCTTTTTCTCACTGGGCATAATATTTCATCATAGTTTATTTCTCTATATGGCTTATATATTTTAGTGATCTTTCCTTAGTTTCAGGGTTTTTTTCTGAAAACCCCAAAAATGGAAAACCAACTCAGAAAGCTACGAGTCGTAGAAATTTCCACATGGCACAGTTTCACAATTGTCTCTACATGGATTCTACAGGTTTTGCTGATTCAAGGCTCATTTTTATATTGGTTTCTTCTTAGGCTGTAAAAATCTGGATCTGCACTCACAAGTGATAGAGGTTTTAATTTTTCATTTCTCATCTACTTATACTTCCAGGCAGGTAGCCAATGTACTTGCCACCAAGTTTCTAGGTTGGTGGACCTAATAATTATAGTGCTATTTCTAGGAGAGGAGAATCCTTCATTTTTTCAGGTTTATATAGAAAAGTAGTTCTAATACTACTGTATGCAAAAAAGGTGCTCAATTATTTTTCCTATGAGGGCCTTAAAATCCCAACTTATGTATGTATATTTGAATCTGATGCCCCTTGGGAAATATTTTTCCCTTGATTGAATGTTAGAATTACCTGGAGAGAATAACACTTAAAACTTATTTATTGAAGTTGACATGAATACAGAAAAGTAGATGTATGAGAAATGAGCAGATTGGTGTGTTTTCAAAAATTAAACATTCCCTTATAGCCAGCATGGAAATAAATATAGGACTTTTCTTTTAACCTTACTCATAATCTTGAGTGTGTGTTTGTTTGTGTGTGTGCATGTTTATTTTCTGATGCTTCAGAATTTCCATTTCTCGATTTCTTGTTCCCAAGTTGTATTGTTTATTGTTTTATTTTAATATTATAATTTAGCGTCTCTCTGTATGTATAATGGTAGAGTGTTTCTCACCTCAATTTTGTTTACTATATTGGTCAAGTATTCTCTGCCTTCTCATCCACTAGTTGCTTTTGTCTTACTGACTCTGAGAAAACTAGACCCAATTTTCAGTTAAAAAATGTCTGTGTTTGGCTCTAAATTTTTGCAGCAATTCAGATCTCATCATATTTGGATCTCTGGGGAACCCTCAGAGATTCTTGCTTTACTGCTTTAGAAATTTCCAAAACTTTGGGTGAGAGACTCCAATAATATCATCTCCTTTCAGTCCCCTGTCACCATGGGAGAAGTATGAGATTGTAAACTTTTATCTGGTCTGCCTTTCTCTTCCCCTAGAAGAGGCACTGTGTAGTTCCTCTTAAATCTGAATAATACTGGCACATTTGGCACAGAATAGATAAGGGTGAAAAAGTTGCCGAGTACAATGGAATTCTCTTACGGCATGTAGTCTACAACATGCATCTTCATAGCATTATCACTGATTATTTTTTATTTTATTTTCATTTTCAAAGATAATTTTAGAGATTTCTCTCTAAAGCCATTACATCCTGAAACAATTATAGGTTTTATGTTTTATTTTCTTTCTTTAAGTTTCATATCTTCTCAAAAACTGAAAATGGAACTATTGTTAAAATAAGTTATTTTTATCCACCTGACTACATTTATGTAAAATTGATATGATTTTATTTATCCTTAAAAATAATATTATGTTTGTAATGTATTATATATTTTCTATTTCTCCATTAAACAATCATTTTCTTTAAAGACTACTTGGATGAATTTTAGAAACATTAATTTGATAATATGCTTCTGGCCCAATATAATTCAGATGATATTGAAAATGAGTACCTGAATTTCACCATCAAATTTTTAGTTTTTTGTTGAAGTATTTTTGAAGCTTGGAAACATTAAATTGTGTCTTTCTGATTATAAAATATTACAATATTAAATAACTGTCAAGGTAAACATGAATAAGCTATTTATATAATTTATCATAGTAGTTCAAGTCTGAAGATACATTATATTGACTTGAACAGTCTTTCAAACATTCCAATGCCAGGACCATAGAATTTCTGGAAGTGAGCTCTGGATGCCAGTATTTTTTAAATTCCTCAAGGATTTCCAACTATAACTAAAGTTGAGAGCCACTCATTTACTATGTGTATTATATTGTGGTATGTAGGCTATAATAAGACAGAAATTCTTAAAAAGGTAATAAATACATACTAATGTTTTAGACACATAGTGCTATAAAATATCAGAAAATGAGGCTAATGAGGAAAAGCAATAAAATATAAAATATCCATTAGTAATTCTAAGCAATCCTACTTTGATATTGAAAGGCAGCAAAAGGTATAAAATACAAGTTGTCATTTTCAGAAAAAAAATTAATATCAGTTTAAGAATTTCCAAAATGACAAATTATATTTTATTTTAAAAGGATATGACATGTACAATAAGTTTATTTTAGGAAATGATTGCTATGATCAGATACATTGATGACACGAGCATAATTGTTTAGTAAGTTTCACATCAAGAACTTCCAGCTTTGTTTTATTTTTATTATTACTTAACCCTAGTGTTAATACATATTTACTTTCAATATGATTAATAATAATAATGTTGAGTCAAATATTTACATATATAAAGCTTCTTTTTCCGATAATTTACTTAGGTTGGGACATGAGACACAGAATAATGGATTTTATGGTAAACAATGTTAAGACTCTTGAATATTCTGACAAAGTTGATAGAAAGTCTTTTTTATTTATTTATGATTATTATTTTAGTTCACAATTTATTGACTGGAGGACAAGTACTAAAATATTATTTATAGTAATATTGGAATTGAGGCAAAATAGAAAATAATTGTATCCTCTTGATGTCAACTTGTATTTAAGTCCCAAATCATCTATTACCTATGTGACCTTAAAGTTCCTCCATTTTCCAAGACTCAATACCTCAATTTATAAAATTAAATATTATATATCTCATTAAACTGTTGTGGTCATTAATTTTCAGTTGTTTATATAAGCAATTGTATCATTTTCAAATTATCACACCGGCATCTTTGTTACATTATTTATTTATATCACATATTTTTAAAAAAAAATTTGCATTCGTGCCTCCACATGTGAGGAATCGTTCTCTGTTTTTCAGAATCTATATTCTGGCTAGGCAGGTTGGCTCATGCCTGTAATCCCAAAACTTTGAGGAGCTGAGGAGAGACGATTGCTTGAGCCCAGGAGTTGTAGACTGGCCTGGGCAAGAGGATGAGAGACCGCATCTCTACAAAAACTTCAAAAAGTAGCCAGGCATGTTGGCACACACCTTTGGTCCCAGCTACTTGGGAGGCTGAGGTGGGAGGATGGCTTGATTCCAGGAGTTTGATGCTGTAGTGCACTGTGTTTATACCACTACACTTCAGCCTGGACAACAGAGTGAGACCCTGTCCCAAAGAAAAATATGTCTTTCTTTCATTGACTATCCCCACCTGCATAGTCAGCTACCATCCTCCCTACCTACCACTCTGTCTTGCCTGTGGTATCACAGAGGTCTCACTAGGGGTCTGTGCTTTCATTCCTGCACCCTGGGTCTCTTTTTCACACAGAAATGAGAGTTTTAATTTTCAAATATGTAATAATATATAAGGTGTTTTCTCAAAACTTTCTAATGGCTTTCCTTTAAACTTATAAGTGCAAATTTTATATGTTAATTTGGATGTAGATTATCCATTAAGGTAATCAATAAAGCCCTATGTTATCTGGTCAAGACCTTGTCTCTGACCACTTGTTCACTCTGTTCTAGCCACTCTGCTATCCTTATTCATTTGTATTCTCTCTTCCCTCTACCTGCAATGTTTTACTCCAGATATTAAAATCACTTGCTTTTTCCTTTTTTCCCTGTCTCCTCTGAAATGTCACAGCCTGAGAGATGACTTTTTTGAACATCTGATCTAAAACAGCATTACGAAAAATATGCCTTTAAAAATATTTTTAAAAAGCATTACTCTGTCACTCTCTCTCTCTACTTACTCATCTTTATTTTTTCTGATAATACTTACCTCTGCTAAACATTATATATTTTCTGTCTCCACCTCTAACACATGACTGCAATGAAGATAGAATTTTTTTTAATGTTCACTGTTGTACCCTCTGGAATGCTTAAAACTATACCTTCTATATGGTAGGCATTCAACAAGTATTTGTTGAATGAATAAACTAATGCAACAATGAATTTATGAAAATGTCCTGAACAACATTTAATAATACTAGTAATAGCTTGTGTTTGTTATCTATTGCTGCATAACCAAAGACACCAAAACCTAGTGGCTTAAAACATTACAAATCAAGAATTTGGGCAGGACCCAGCAAGGTCATCTCTGCCCCCCTGGCATCAGCTGAGGCAGCTTACATCCCAGGGGCTGGGGCAGTCTAAAGACTCACTCTCCTGTCTCTGGCTGTTGGTATTGGCTGTCAGCTTGGACATTAGCTGGGTTTGAGGGAAGAACACCTACATACATCCATTTGATGGGACTGCTTGGCTTAACTACAGTATGGTGGCAGGGTTCCAATTAAGATACTTACAATAGAGAAGAGAGGCAGACAGACAAAAGGTACACTGCATTTTATCATATGGTCTCAGAAGTCATGCAGTGTCACTTCTGTCCCATTCTATTCATCAAAACATGTGACTAAGCCTGGTTCATATTCAAGGGGAGAGATATTAGACTCCAGTTTTTAATGTAAAGACTGTCAAATAATTGGCTGACATCTTTTAAAACCATTACAGATTGCAGTGTTATTTTAGTCCTCATTTTAATGGAATTGCCTCTAGGATTTTCCTATCCAACAATAGCAAACACAAGATTGATAGGCCAGCTTATTGCAAGGGAATTAATGAATATGACAATTTTGTATATATGAAGACTTATTTTTATGCCTCATTAAAAAATTGCACCTAAGTAGCTATCAGTATGTACTAAATTATTCCTAAGAAACTAGTAAGATCTATTAAAAATTTTGAAATATAACAATACAAGCAACTTGTTAAGTATAATATAGTGACTGCAATTAGTGCTGGCTGGCCCTTTCTATGGATGTATTCCACTCTTGCCCATGTTGGCTTTGCCTTGTCCCCTGCCAATTTTACTGCCAACGTGATGGCATTTATGAATTTATTGAACACTTTCAGCTTTTGATATGATGGCCAAATTTATATCTGAAATAAAATTTTTCTTGCTTCGAAAAAAAGATTTAGCTTACTGCTGATTTGATGGTTACCTGTCTTGGGGGCTTAGGGTACTATTACCCAGCATTCCTTTCCAAAAAGCCAACCTTTATTTCAGCAAAGTAAATATGAAAAAAATTAAAGTTATTCATATTTCAGCAACAAAAAAGAATAAAATATTCTGTTTCCATCACTGAACATTGGGTGGTTTATTCACATAAAATATTTAGATACAATATTAATTTCTTGCAAAATATCTTTTTTTCTTATCAAGCAGTGACTTGCATCTGACATCAGATACTGTATTATTTTGCTTAGTTCTACAATGCTGACATATTTAGGTTTCTACAGAGGTCTCCCTGTGTGATTGTACATATATTACATAAATAAAACTTTAGAAAGCAGTTGGAAATATTGCTTCTTTTTAGGGATAGACAGATCCATTATATAAGAAATATAATTAGATTCAATAATGTATCTCCACATTAAAAAAGAAAATCCCTTATTACAAAAGAAATTGTCATTAAAAAATTAGACCTAGTGTACAGTTAAACAAAACACAATTAGTAATCTTATTCTAAATGTGAGACTAACATTATTTCAAACTGTAGAAATAATAGTAATATGAATAGTTTAAATATACTTATGTTTTTATAGCATACAATAAAAAAAGTCAAAAAAGTATTTCAGGAACTTTGTATTACATTTCCTTATTGCATTCTCAAAAAACAAAGGGAAAATTTAGAATATTGAAAGACAGATTTGATTCTTATAAGAGATCGAGTAACACTTGTCTTTCCTTTGGATAGTTAGAAGTAAACTTCTATTATAAAAGGAAGATTTTTATCATTAAATTTTAACCGGCAATGGATGTGTACAGCTTCAAAAAGCTGACATGATTTTACCTTCAAATTCTTTTTCCTCCTCAAATATTAAAGGTATTTGCAGATCCTTAGAGCTGTTTGTCTACTTAGCCAAGTTAAATTAAAATGCAAGCTGATAATCTATTGTTATATTATTTTTCCAATATTGACAATCAGTTCCCTTTTATAATGAACTTTTTCCTGTGCTAGCTACTTCAAATCTTTTTATCCTGTACCCATAGGATTGAACATGATTATGAAAGATAAACCTTAGTAATAAAAGATGAAAAGAGGTTATGACATTCTTATTAAACAGAAAAGGCAACTTCTTCTGATTCTAATCTTATAGTTACCAGCATTATTAGAACATTATTAGAAGTAGAGGAAATAGGCATATTTATTCATAAGTCTTATTCTCATAAATTATACTTTCTAAAGAGTAGAACTTTTACAAAACTAGTGCATTGCAATTCTTTTGTTTTATAAAATGTATAATAAAAATTCTACTTTTTCTATAGAGAAAATGTTTAAAATATAAATATTTTATCAGAAATAAACTAACATATTAATGGAAAATTACTAAAACTTCCAAGGGGTTAAATAATAGGAGACAAGAAAATTAATCTTTTGTGAGCCGTGTATTCCAGAGAGTTGACTTTTTTTTCATTTTATCTTTCCAGGAAACTAAAGAAGAATTCAAAATAGTATTTGAACCATTTTAACACAGTTAAATTACTGTTTTAACGGTTCAAATATTCTATCTTAGGCATCATAATCCAAAATAGTCTAAATAGGAAGGTATTTATTAAGAGGTGGAGCGTCACTAAGTCACTAGGAGAGGTCAAGAGATGCTAGACTCATGTTCCAGGATCATAGAAATGAGCCACTGCATAACCAAAATCAGGAACTTTCAAAGCAGGAGGCTGCTCATAGAGATGCAAACTCTGGAATAACTTCTTTTCTGTGACAATCCAACAACTACTAAAATTGGAAGCCCTTCGAAAAAACTTAAAAAGTCATCACAATAGTCAACAGTCTAGAATCTTACTATTCTGATTTTATTACTCAATTATGAAGCAAACTCATGATGAGTGTGTCTAATTACAGAAAGCCAAAATCATGTTTGGTGCCCTAGCTGTAAGGTAATATAGGAAATGTAACTAGAGTCCAGAATCCATATGCTTAAAGTAGGTTGGAGAGGGCATTGGAACAGGTGTCACGTGTGTCCACCAAGGTCGTCCCTTTACCACCTCTGGATACTCAGCACCAGTGAAGATCCTGTTCCAGTTACATGACAGACACACAAATTATCCCAAAGCTTAGCATCTTTGCACAGCCATTTTATTTTTCTCATTGTTCTGCCTTGAGTCTTTAGATGACTAGAGCTGTAGTCATCTGAAAACCCTACTGAGATGGATAACTCAGAAGGCCCACTCATATGGCTGGTTTTTGGAACCTCTGTTGTAGACTAAAAGCCCTAAAGTGGTTTCTTTATATGGCCTGGCTTCCTCACTGTGTGGCAGTACAGGACTCAAGGCACAAATGCTCTAGTGTGCAAGGAAGATGCTCCATTGCTTTTTACAAAATAGTATCAGAAATTACATATCATCACTTCTGACATATCTATTAGTCTCAACAGTCTCTAAAAGGTAGTTTCAAGGTAAGGGGATGTAATTCCCACATTTCAATGAAATAAGTTTTAAAAACAAGAAGTATTTAGTAAATCAGTTAAAGATGTGTTTGCAGCAACATGATACACAGAAAAGACATATTTTTTTTTCTAAGCAAATGTTTATGAGAGTCAGGAAGAATTACTCTACTCTCCCTGAAAAATCAAATGTAGTAATTCTGCTATTAGGTGGTCGACTGAATCCTCTAAGATATAGCACCATAGTGATAGTTCTTTGCAATTTCTTGATTGGCACTTTTAATTGCTAGTATTATATATGCTTTAATGTGAAGAAGTTGATGCTATTGATCCCATGCAAATCTGTCCCTGAAACCATGGTCACACTCTGTATAAACCCATTAACCAAGAGCTGGGACAGATGTGGAAAGAAGACGATTGACATCCTTAAGTTAGTGTACCACATTTGTCCAATTATTGAGAGCGTCCTCTACAGAACATTCATGTCAGCAAGAAGTATTCTCACTCATTAGGCCCATTCGGTGAGGTCTATCCACATTCCTCTTTCACAAGCTGCCTTGTCATCAATACTCCAATCTTGTTCTTCCCAAATTCCTCATTATTCATATAAACTATGGGCTACTGCCCATGAATCGCCACATATCTGTACCTGCAGTAGTCCCTAATTCCAGGATAAGTAGAAAACAATTTGTAACAGTTTTGTTTACTGCCAAGATTTCTCTTTCCCAATCTCTTCTCATCTGTCCTGTCCAACTGCAATATTCTAAGTATAGCTAAAAAAATTGTATGGGCAAATCCCAATGAGACTATAAACATGGGTTCAGCAAGAAGTGGCAAAAGTAAGCACACAGGAACATTAAAAACTGTTCAAGCTGAGTCTGGAATATACCACACTCAGTTGCAGGACAGTTCTTCTAGGAGTGACTGGCTTCATAACTTTCAGAAGAACTAACGCCAAATTTATTTATCTATTGTTTCACTTTATGTTCTGGCATCCATGTGCAGAACGTGCAGGTTTGTTACACAGGTATACATGTGCCATCATGGTTTGCTGCACCCCTCAGCCCGTCATCTAGGTTTTAAGCCCCGCATGCATTAGGTATTTGTCCTAATGCTCTCCCTCCCCTTGCCCCCACCTTCCAACAGGCCTCAACGTGTCACGTTCCCCTCCCTGTGTCCATGTATTCTCATTGTTCAACTCCCATTTATGAGTGAGAACATGTGGTGTTTGGTTTCCTGTTCCTGACTTACACCAAATTTATAATGGGAAGTTCGGGACTTGTCATTTGTTCGGTTGTCTGGTGTTCAGTATCCACTTCGCACAATAACAAGCGAAGAATAATTTCTGGTCACTTGAAAGAGAGTTTAGCATTGCTCTGAAATCTAAGAAGCCGCTCCTCTGACTTGTCTACTAAGCCTGTGATAGGTGTCATGAATCATCCTGATCAGGCAGGCATTTTAAGCATCATCACATTCAGCGGCTAATAAGGGCTGGGTGGAAGCCGTCTTTTAGTAGATGAAGTCTGAGCCAGCTGGAAAGCTTTTACTTGCTTTCAGTCCAACTAAAAACTGGCAGTCTGATGAGCCACTTAGTAAATGTGTCAGAGCAATACAATTAAATATGATATCTGTTTCCTCCAAACTCCAAAGAGGTCCACAATTATGCCTGTTTCTCAGTAGTAGAGAAAATAAACTGAAACAACTTATCTTTCTGGAGGAGGTATTCTAATACATAGAACTATAGATAGCAGAAACTATAAGATGCCTGTATACTGTATTGTGGCATCCAGAATGCTATTTCCTGATCAGGTACTATCAGCAATAGGACACCTTGGCATGAGCATGCTGTATCCTATGATGTGGTGAGGTATTTGAGGTATATAGACTAAATTATAGCTATGAAGCAGAGTGTTTGCATCACCCAAAGGATTTCAATAAAGATTTAACCTTGTACCTCTTTGAGAAAAGCATAATGCACTCTATGATTTTCTGATTATTGGGATATAGAAAAAAATGTATAACATTTAACAAATCATTACTGCATAATAAGTATTAGGAAGTATGTTAATTTGTTGCAATAAAAATGAAAATAAATACGAATGGTCACTACCTAAGTTTGGAATAATCCTTTATTGTTTTCTAAGAGTTATTTTTCTTCTGCACAGATCAAAAGATTAAAAAAACCGGTGTGTCAGAGGCCATTTCTCCTCTCTCTTTGATGTCTTTGATAATAACCCTATATTCTATGAAGCCTCCAGGGATTCATTATTGCTTTTGATTTGCTATTTTAGTAAGGAAAGGGAGGCTCCATAAGCTTCCAATTAGTTTGCCAACCAATACCTCCCACTCCACAGAGAAGCATTGTGGGAAGTTTGCCAGTGTCTGAGTATTTATAGTCTAACCATACACTCATGAACTGAGGAAATAACCATAGTGGGGGGGGGGCATAAACGGAGTTAACTTTATTTATCATCTGACCGTCATAAGCCCTCCATCTGATCAATGAAGTAGTATGGCATTCTAGATTCAAGAGAACAGAGTTAGTTTAGAGCCAGTGTTGAATCACTCCACTGAAGTCTATATAATTTTCTTTTTCTAGCGTAATTGGCTCCAGTAAATCAAAATAGATTTCTTAGCGGGAGATTGTGAAAAAGATATACTATGTACTTCAGATGTCTTTTGATTCAAAGAAATCTGTTTTTAAAAGGAATTAAAGTATGGGAATTTGGTGAGGTATAAGAAAGTTCCATCTGATAATTCAATTCAGGGCTCTGTCTTCCCAAGACATAGAGGAAATAGTTGGTTAGGTAAATCAAGTACCATCTTAACGGACGAATATATTCTCTTAGGGATTA
Source organism: Homo sapiens (assembly GCF_000001405.40). NCBI lineage: Eukaryota > Metazoa > Chordata > Mammalia > Primates > Hominidae > Homo > Homo sapiens. Next base: position 135,269,063 of record NC_000004.12, read on the forward strand.
TATAACCTACTAGTTACTAACAAAATCTCTGTAGGTGAGATCATTCTGATTATATTTTATCTGCTATGTGGTTCAATAATCACCACCTCTATGGTTAATTGTCATTAATTGCTGTATTTTTGCAACTGCAATCATGAAAATCCCATTATTAATACTGACATCGGGGAATGTGTGTCAACAGAAGCATCTCGTTTTTATCCTCTGCCCACAGAAGACAGCCATCAATATAGCACATTTCTCGGGTGCAGATGCTCCCTTTACAAAAGACATTCTTAGTGGCTTTGTAAAGTGGTTGGCATCACAGCATACTTAGTGGCTGTCTTAGTTTGTTTTCTGTTCCTTATGACAGAAAACCTAAAACTGTGTAATTTATATAGAAAAACATTATTTCTTAAAGTTATGGGGCTGAGAAATGCAAGGTGAAGGGGCCTCATCTGAAAGTGTTCTTGCTGGTGGAAACTCTGCAGCGTCCCAGTGCAGGGCATCACACGGAGAAGAGGCTGAGCGTGCTAGCTCAGGTTTCTCTTCCTCTTCTTAGAAAGCTACCAGTCTCACTTTTGTGATCACTTATTAATCCACTAGTCCATTCATCCATGAATGGATTAATCATTCATGAGGGCAAAGCCCTCATGACCCAATCACCAGCCCACCTTGAAGGCCCACCTCTCAATATTGTCACATTGAAGATTAAGTTTCATCATGAGTTTTGGAGCAGACAACCATTCAAACCACAGCAGTGAGCATACTTAGTGGGTAGATAAATTCATATTATATGAGAACATTCTCCAATACAGCGATCTCCAAGATCTTGCTAACCATTAAGTGTGTATTAGTCCCTCACAATGATCTGTGCAATTCCCTGCCTCCTGCTTCATAGGATTCATTTGCAAATCAGAGACCTGCAAATTCATTTGATTGATATAACCAAACTTTCAGCTCCAAGACAGTCTACTGTACTTAGTCTTATATCTATTAGCTTTCCCATTTCTCAAGAGTGAGAACAGAGATTTAAAATATATATAACATATTATATATTTACAAGTATATAAATATATAATACACATTTAATATATAAATTTATATATTTATATATTGTATATTCATATATGTAAATGGAATTTATTTGAATAACAAAATAAAAGGAGCAGAAATGCCATTAAAATCTAAGTTAAAACCTATTTCAATACACCATTCTATTTACCAGTTCCTCTTTAATAAATGGTTAAGGCTCAGAGAAAGCCTGGCATTATTTTTTGATTAGACAGAAGTTTGAATGCCATTTATTTTGGCAGATTAAAACTATTCCTAAAACCTACTGATTTTACAACCTAGTACTTTCAAATTTGATTTAAGTACTTTTAGTTTTCTCCAAATTCATTATGATACTAAAGACAGAGGTATCAATGTGGCTCCATGTAGGTGATGAGACCTAGAAGTAGACTTACCATAATATATCAACTGTTACCACCCAGTCCAATATAGCCCATTCCATTACTGCCTCTCTCCAGAAATTGTGTAACTGCTTTGTTACTTAATGCATTTCCACAGACCTTTCATAATATTTAATAGTTCCAATATGAAACAAACCTACCTGTAAAGAGCACACACTTCTTGCTGTAGTCATATCTTCCAACCCAAGTAGAATTAACTGGAGATTGGAATGTATGATATCGCTTAAATAATTATCTCTGATTAAAACAGCTAGTACCTTAATAATGCAAATCATTTTGTCTTTATCTTTACAATCCATGATTGAGTGGATTGTCTTCTTTCTTCTCTCATTTCGAGGTTCCTTATTTAACTATTTTTCTTTTGCACCCTAGAGACTATTTTTTCTATTTTCTTCACTTTTATTTATTGATTTATATTCATTAATTCTCAGCACTGTCCACTCTGGTTGGCTAGGGGTACAAAATAGATTTAAAATGAATTTTGTAGGTCGAACAATCAGACACTAGCAAGTTGGTCCTCCTAACACCTCTCTGAATGTTATTTTTCCATTAAAGTCACCAGGATTCTGCCTTTTTTATTTTTTTGAGTTTTGTTTCTAGTTGCCATTTACCTTCTACCATTATTTGGACCATTCCAGACATAAGGGAGAATGATAGAATAAAATATTTTACCATATATGCCTAATTAAATATTTGTATTTTTAAACTATTATTCTTTTTTATTTTTATTTTTTTGAGACAGAGTCTTGCTCTGTCGCCCAGGCTAGAGTGCAGTGGCGCGATCTCAGCTCACTCCAAGCGCCGCCTCCCCGGTTCAAGCAATTCTCCTGCCTCAGCCTCCCGAGTAGCTGGGATTACAGACACCTGCCACCACACCCAGCTAATTTTTGTATTTTTAGCAGAGTCAGGGTTTTACCATGTTGGCCGGAATAGTCTTGAACTCCTGACCTCGTGATCCACCCACCTCGGCCTCCCAAAGTCCTGGGATTAAAGACGTGAGTCACTGCATCTGGCCCCTAAACTATTATTCTTGTACGAAATTTCTATCAAGGTCCAGTTCCAATGCCATTTAAGAATTTTGGCTAGAAATTGTCTAATCAAGTTAATAATTGCTGTACCATTTACAATTAGTGTACTTTAAGATAATTCTAATGTTTATATTATTTTTTTCATATTTAGTCAACTTGTTTACATTTTTAGTTATAAACTTTGTAAAGCAGAATATCTATTACCTTATTCTACTTCTGAAGTTGTCCAGCACAATAGTATTTGCAGGCTTGATTATATGATTTTTAAACTATTTGCTCTGCAAGACAGTTAAAAAATACTAATCAGCAAATATTATGTTTATTTTAAACTTGATTTCCAAACACAACTTGAAAATGTGGTGTGTATAATATAAATACCTCAACCTATCCATTTAGGTGAGGCAAATTTTCTAGAACTGGTAACACACCAATAATGTTTTATAATGAATTTAATTATTTAAATTTTGTATTAATCTTGGAATTATATGATTTCAACTACTTGAAAACTTTTTTTGTATGTTTTTCATAGGTGTTAGTTTAGGTGTTGAATTATCATGAACTGTGATTCAGTATTCCTTATAGCAAGGTGACTCTCCTGTCTGCCTCTTTCTGTGCCTCTTTCTTCCATGAAACGTTAACTGCTTAAGTATTCTTATAGCAGTCATAAGGAAATCTGTAAGTGAATTATTCTCTGGGCAGTAATTGTTTTTTTTTTTTTTTTTTTTTTTTTGAGATGGAGTCTCGCTCTGTCACCCAGGCTGGAGTGCAGTGGTGTCATCTTGGCTCACTGCAACCTCCGTCTCCCGGGTTCAGGCGATTCTGCTGCCACAGCCTACCAAGTGGCTGATATTACAGGTGCCTACCAGCATGCCTGGCTAATTTTTTTCTATTTTTAGTAGAGATGGGGTTTTCACCATGTTGGTCAGGCTGGTCTCGAACTCCTGACCTCGTTATCCACCCGCCTTGGCCTTCCAAAGTGCTGGGATTACAGGCATGAGCCACCGCGCCCGGCCTCTCTGGGCAATAATTTTATCTGTAATCAAAAAAGATGTCACAACTGAGGTTAAATAAGAAATTAGTTTAAAAAATATTTCTTGATGTTTTCCATTATTGAAAGCACATCAAGCTTACATATGAAACGGCCAATACAATTAAGAAAATGCTAAATAATAATGACTTTAATGTTGGCTCTGTATGCAGGAATTCCTATATGGAATAAAGATAGCAAATAAGATAGCTAATGGCTGTGGTATCATGTCATGTTTCTCTCAATTAGGTATTATCAGTTGCTTATTTACTTCATGGGGAAAATTGTTTGGCTGTAACTTTGACCATAAACTTCCCTGAAAGTTTAAGTTTGCCATATGGACATTGAGATCTTGTTGGCTATTGAAAAATGAAAAACAAAGGTGACTGAAGAGGAAAAAAAGTTATCTCTGTCCTATGTATTCAAACACACATTGTAGATAGCCATTATGTCTAAATTTAGAAATCCTACATACATATAAAGGACCAGCATCATGCTTTCTACTCCACGGATATTTCTCTATTACTTCCACTGAACTTTAACCACTCCCACCACTCACTCCCTATCAGTTACACACACATGCATACAGGTAACTTACTCATCTCATTTTGCTTACTTATCTTTTACGATATTTTGAGTTTTGTGATTTTTAAGTGTGAGGTAAGAGAGAGCATTATGCCATATCACTTCTCTAACCTCACACACTGCTTGCATACAATAGATGTTTCAACTTATTTTAATTTAATTATTAATTATAATTTTAATTATTTTTGTATTTGTATTGGATTTTATTTTAGAAACTAAATAGGTTACTAACTATATATCCATATATGTACACCAATGCACACACACACACATACACACATATATATATAATTAATTATATCATGGTGAAACATTTGCTGTACAGGAATTTCCTTGTAGGCTCAGCTCTAGGCTGATTGAACACAAATTTATGCCTGCATTTCAGAATAAGGAAGTTGTCTGATCCCTGCTGCAGAATGAACGCTATTTCATTTTCTCTACCTGATGTTATTTAGATAGAAGATGGAAATAACTTTTAATTTAAAGAAAAAAGTTCTTAAGTATTAGATGCATGCAAGGTACCCGAGAACATTCACAGATGTTTTGGCTTGAGATAATTATGTGGATTTCTTTTTACTTTTTTCTTTTTCATCTTTTTTTTTTTTTTTACGTGATGTTATTTTTTACTTCTATCTGAAAGCTGCCTAAAAAAACATTGGAAGGTAGCTACATATGCCATAAAAGTTGTCATCAAAGTTATGCCTGCTGTTTTTTTACATCCCTATGCTGTTTATCCTTATCCATAATTCATTCTTTATAAAAAGAAAAAGAAAAGGAAAGAAACAAACCAAAGAATAAATGGTGACATGGTGTCAAAGATCCCTTGGGAATCTGACACTAGAATGCAGTTAATTTTGCATCTTATGATTATCCTTTTATGTAAACACACATTCTCAGTGCATCCTCATTAATTTTTTTGAAAATCTAAATAATTGGATTAATTTTATTTTTTGAGTAGGTGAGAATCCAAGACATTGTTTTCAATCCTCCATAAAAGATCTAAAACTTGTTTATAATTATGTATGATTTATATAAAGCTAGCTTAGTTTTTAAATTTTTTTGAATAATGCATGTTAAATTACATAAAGCTAATCAGAAAACATGCATTTTCAAACATGATGCTGTAGGTGGGAAAGCTATATCAGGAAAAGAGAATACTTAGCTACAGGTTCTTTGTCTTATAAGAATCCAGCACTCCCAGTTCAGAACCAGACAAATGTCTACTAAATGTGAAACTATGTAAGAAAAGGATTTTCTGCTGGTTTTCAGAAAGTAACTTATAAAGTGATTATACCCTGTAGGAATAACAGGATAGTAAACAGTCAGCAGAACATATCAACACATCTTTCCATTCAAACCAGTCCCCTTGCTTTGGTTCAGGGCAGGAAGTGGATTGTTTAAATCTTTCCCTCAATTCACAGACACATTTTTAAAAATCCACAAACATGAACAACTCGATGGGTCAAATATTAATAGTACCAGTATAAACAAAAAGAAAGAGAAAAATTTCATAACTTTTAGAAGGCCAGGAAACAGTAGTGACAGAATTCCATCTACCCTGAGGGCTTTTAGGATAAATACCAGAAGTCTGAAGAAAAACTACCTGGTTTTTATTCCAAATATTCAGCTTCTCTGGTATGCAACCTTGATCAAGTTAGTTAACTGCTCTGTGTTTCAGTTTTCCCATTGAAAGTAGGGATAATTATTGTATCTACAAACCTGTTGGGGTCATTATGATTAAATGAGTATGAAGTTTTTATAACATTGCCAGGCATATATTAAATATGTCTACTATAAATCTTGGCTGTACATTCTTACCTGAGGTCTAATTATTCATAAAGCCTAAGAAATTTAAAGTTGTTGGCACCATACCAAACACTAAACAAAAGATTTCGTAGGAAAATTTTAAAAACAGATAAACTTACAAAACATTTAAAAATTTTTTCTAGGTAAGATAATGAAAGGACAGCAGAGGCTCCTGGGTGTTCATGCAAAAAGGTCTCATTTGTGACTCTACCTTTGACATTGTCTCATTCCTCTTTATATGAAGTTTATATGCGAGTGCAACATAGTCCATAAGTCCTTGAATTCTGTTTGGATAAGCAAAAGCACCATTATTTCAACCTTGTAGTACCGAAAGCAAACTATATAAATAGCAAAAGAGAACCAAGATTGTTTTTTCCTAAAAATAATGAATAAGATAAGCTATGTCTAATCTAGTGAAGTGAAAGAAAAATGTGATCACCTAAATGTATTGGAAAAGAAAGTGATTTTACAAACCATTACTAGCTATAAGAATTTAAGTGATTTTAGATTTTATTTTCTTTAAATATATGCATAATTGTGTAAATCTTACAATGCTGTTTGTTAAAGTGGCAATATTCAGGGTAGATTTATGTTTTTATTTGTTTAGATGTCATCCTAAATTAGCTTTAAACCTTTATTATAAGCCTTTAACATAAAGCCCAAAGGAAAGCAGTTGAATCAGAGATTGATTTTAAAACTTGAATTAGTGTGGAGAGTCTTGTAAAACAGGTACAGAAACACCAACATTAAGTAGGCCTCCAGACAATTAAACTAAATAACTCTTTTAGACTCAAGCTAATCTAGTCACTCATATAAATTTACTTTAACTATTCACAAAAGTTAAATTACTGGGGGAAAGACAGATTCCTTTTCAATGGATAAATAGCAAATAATTCAGCATCAGCTTACTACAAAGAAAACAAAACTGAACAATTGGTTAGTAAGCCGAAATTACTTATTACAAAATTAGTAGGCAGATTTTTTACAATGTTGATTTAATCGTTTGTATTATTTCCTTAAGGAGAAAACAAATGAGTCTTTAAACATGCAATGAGATTTATGTAATGTTTTATATAATTGACAATCTGAAAATAAATTAAGATATATATGTGGGGATAAATAGTTGGAATGTTGTTTTAGTGGCTGTTGAAATCAAACAAAAAATCTAAGAATCTAGAATTTTTGAAAATAGTAAGAATCTAGAGAATTTGTTTTGAAAAGTATGAAATTCATTCTATAATTATGTCAGAATAAATATCGATTGAATAGTAATCAGAATTTATTCTATGAATGGCTTTGCTCATACATTCAGCTAGACAAAAAGGTGAGAATTTTAATTTTTCTCTCACTCAATCTTAACACATTAATTTATAAGTAGTGTTTTATCAAAATAGTTTTTAAAAAATGATTATCATGATTCAATTTTTCAAAATGATAAAGCAGTAGATTTTCAGTTTTTATTTTAGCTTTTAAACTTGTTCTTTTTAAATTTTTATGATAAAAATGTGAAGCAGAACTAATTAGTTAGATATAATAGTATTTTAAAACTAAAATTAAAAAGTTTTTAAAAATGCCCTGAATTTGTTGTATTTTAAAAGACAAACTTTTTAAAAATTGTCATTTTTTTGAAATTTGAAAATAATCACACAAATTAAGAGACATGTAATTTAGTGAAGTTTAAAAAGGTAAAATTAATTTTAAAGTTGAATCTAAAATCATGCATTTTAATTTATTACATATTAAAATATAATGTTTAAGAAAAGTAACAGCTGAAAAATCCTAATTTGAAGAATTGTTTAGTGTATTTAAATTTAATGAAAATGAAAATGGCAGAATGAAAGGCAAAGTCATGATGAAGGAGATTAATAAAGGTTATATTCAGGTGGCAGCAATAATAATGATGTACATTATTTTAGGAGCTTATATATTTATCTCCTGATTTATTTTGTGTTCACTGTACTTCTGTAATTTATTTTTTAAATATAAGAATATTCATTTTTAATGTTTATTAACTATATGATAAATACTTTCATGCTGCTCTTTTCTCGTAGAACATGAGTGACCCATGCCCTGGTGTCTCGGGCTATCAGGTTCTTCTTTCTGTTCTACACATGCCTCTTTTCAGCTTTCATCTACATCCTAATGAGAAGTTTACTAAAACTAACTGACAGAGAGGGAAAGAAGTTGAGCCTGAGTCTCAAATGGCTCAGCACCTTATACTGGCACTAGCTGAAAATTAGTTGTTGCCACATTGCAGTCTCACTTAACAGAGGTCTTAAAGAAGCGTTATGAAAAACTGTCCCAGTTGCCAGGGTTTTGTACGGTACATTTGGTCATTCAGTTTTTAAAGAAAGGATGAATGACCTGAAGTATGTGGATTTCAGAATAGTGCCAAGTGGTTTGAGTAAGTCATTTCCTGGAAAGAGTAACACTAAAAAATTCCCAAGTAGGATGTCTAGAAAAATAATGCACAGATCGACATATCCACATAGTATTCTGGGTTTGTACCCAGGATGTGTGAATTTTTGTATCACATGTTAATGCTCAACTGAGATCTTCAAAAGCAAGTTAGCTCTCAAAAACCTTACAGGGTGACTTGCCTTGTGTATTTTACCTCTGCCCTCTGCCACCCCGGTGTTTACACAATGAGCTGATGGATAGCTTGGGTAGCAGGGATAGGGGATAAGTATGGACTGAGAAGCAGGAGCTCTCTTTCACCAAGACTTATCTATTTACATTCACTGCAGAATACACAACCTGCCCAGAATAGAGACTAATATTGAGTCCTTAATATTGTGTCAGGCATCAAAGTGACACATTCAGAGAGCTGCTTGCGGTATATTATATCAGACAACTTTCCCCTAAGAGTAGTGATTCATCCTAACCAAATTCATACTTTCTTCCCTGCTTACAAAGCCTTTGCCATACAAGGGCTCAGGAATGCTTAATCTAATCCCCAAATAACCCATACAATGTTGTTTCTGGCCAAAAGATGCATTTTACAGTGGAGCTGATAAGACAATATGTGCATGACAATGGAATCCAGTCTTCTTACCGTATACCTGTGCATCCAACAGAATAGTATGAAAGAATCATCTGCTAAACACACACTTAAAGTGCCAGCTTAGCAACAGCATTTTATGTGTCTGGGTGCTGTATGCTAGGCTATAGTAAATCCACTTAAGCAGGTGCTGCCGAGATTCTGAGGATTCCTTTTTAAGCCTTAAGACTCCAGTGAACTCCAACAGGAATTCTGTCAGTATCTGCATCTTGTTGCCTGAAGGCTTTCTACAAAGCTATGTGAAAGGCAGGCTTATAATGCCTGTGAATTAACACTTAACCCCTACAAGCATCCTCAGTCACTGATAGAGGAGAATTTGGTAGATTAACATCACGATATACTTGCCTATATTTCCAAGTGTTTTTCTGTTGGGATTAAGTTCAATTAATGGCTTGATAATATATCCTTTGGTGTCTGCCTTCTTTTCCCTGATCAGTTCATCACTTCTCTACCAATATTTCCTTCATTTCTTAAATAATGTATTTCTACTTGAGACTTTTCTCAAGCTAAGACCTGTGCAAAATCTATGCCTGATATGTGGAAACCAAGTAGGGGATTATTCTGGGTAGAAATCTTGGCTCCTAGAAGATAACTCTTCTGGCAAGAGAAACATGCAGACGCTCAATTATCACATTAGCTCCTCCTTCCAGGGGATCAATAAGTAAAAGAAGAAGGAAATATTCTGGTGGAATAATCAACCCTGAAGAGATAAGTCTTATGCTTCACAATGAAGACCAGGGGAAATATGAACGGATCTCAGAGTATGTGTTAAGACATTTCTTTTTGGTTTAATGCCAGTGATAAGGGCAAGTGGGCAAATGGCAGCACCCACAATCTAACAAGGACAAGTCAATTAAAGACTCAGATCCTTAGGGTATATAGGTTTGAGACACTCTAATAAGTTTCTCATAACAAAACAAAACAACAACAATAACAAAACAGAAAAACTACAACACAAAAAACAAACCTAAATCAAAACTGCACTGTGCTGGGTTTAGGTTTCAGGGACATCTAAAATGTGTAGCGAAGGAAGAAGACGATGAATCTGATTCACCCTCTTCAACAAGGAAAGACATTAATTGTTTACAAACACTCTGACCTAAATCATTTTGAGGAATTGAAATATACCCTTATGACTGGTTAGACTTATAAAAGCTTTCTCAAGAAAAAGGAGGCCATCTTGATTACATATAGATGGAGATCTGTAATTTAACACAAAATGAAGGACATAACCAATATGAAATGTGTTAGCACCCTACTCATGTGCATGCTCTGCAACACTGACCTCCCATCTTGTACTTTCTTTTTGATGTCAAGTCATGAGATGCTATGGGACCCACCTATTTACTATACATGCACAATTTAGAAATATAGATGAGTCAATTGACTACAAGAAAAAACTTTGACAAAGGGGAGATGTCAATTGGGAGAAAAATTCTTCCTCTAAGATAATCTGTACTGAAATGCAGGACATATGTGTTCTCAGAAGATGGTGAAATCGAATAGTCAGCATCAACTGATATAAAATAGTGACGAGCTTGTAACATGCCCTCTTATTGCTCTTCGTCCTTCCTACCTGCCTTCCTTTCCCCTCATTCTTTCTTCCCTGGGATTGCATGGCTTAACAAGGAAGTTAACCTTAAATATTTGCCTCCAACTATTTTATTTGGAATGTTGACCAAGACAAAAAGCACCTCATCCACTAATATGTTTGTAATCTTTCAGTGGACAGTGAGTGATTCAATAAATTTAATTAGATCAATCCATCCATTATTAATAAGAATCCTCCTCATTTCTTTTTCTAAAATGACATAGTTTTATGAGACATAAAGACATAAAGTGAGAAACTTTAAGTACTAGTATTATTCTTAAATATTTAATGACATTACATTTGTCTGTGATAGACTAGAGAAGTGAATCATCACTGCCATCTTAAGGAATAGAAAAAGGGGAAAAAAATAGGAAATGAAGGTACACATCATGTTGAAAAAAGCTGATATTAGTCTTGGTCAATTTTTACTTAGTTATGAGACTCTAATTTATATATTCATACTCACCTAAACTTACTTAATAACTTGTGCTACTCTCTGTACTTACATCTATACATGTCTTTTATATATTCTATTTCTTAATTATATAATAAGAAATATGTATCAATATAGGAAAGATATGAATTAAAATGTATACCCTACTATTTTAATAGTTTTATCACTTTGGTGGGTTGATAGAGAGTTCAAATTAATTCATTAATCCCTAAATATTTCATAATGTGCAGGTTATGTTTAAGACTTCTAATTAATACTAATGTAATGCGACTATTATATGGAATCTTTAAAGCTAAGGACACGATAAGAAATCCTACATACAACTTTCTAGCTATGTAATCATAAGCAAGTTACTTAAAATATGAGGTTCAGATTCTTCATTTGTAGAATAAGAATAATAGCTAGAATATAAGGTTGTGGTAGTATTAAATGTCATAACATATATAAAACCAGCTATTACAATGCTTGCTACATATAGGATGATCAAGATATGACTTTCTTCAGCTGCTTTTTCAACAACTGTTTTCTCAGGTGTTACCAACACTTTAACTATCAACTGTCTTTTACTGCCACTACCACTAAATCTTTTTCTAGCAACGTAAAGTTTATTTCTGAAATGACTTTCTAGTAACACTTTTATACATACAGTTTCTCTTGAAAAATGTTAATATTGCTAATCTTTTCTAATCATAAGTCTGACATCATTAAAAAATGAGCTTATATCAAAATATGCATTGCTAATTTTTCATACCTTGAATTTTTTAGAACTTCTTGAATGTGTTAGTTAATATGCATAGAATTCCAAATAAGGTATAACTTTGTGACTTTAAGATTTTAGTCATTTTTTGTTTTAATTTTTAATGCTAACTACTAATTTAATTTTCTCTCTTTATCTGATGTAATTTTCAAAATCTCTTCCATGCATTCATATACAATAAAATAAGGAAAAACTATGATAAAATATTCTAGAGTTTATATACAAGTTCACAAGCAAGAAAGAAAAATCCCTGGACAAAGAAATGAAGAGGGAGCTCAAATTTGGAGTACTTAACAGTTATACAATTGAAACAGCATAGGCAGGTATTAAATTCATTTCTAAAGACTGAGACTTTTACACCAACATCGTTCTAGTTGTGAGGTGAAAATGAACTCTCTGGAAACATTCATGAGTCCCCAGGAGCTGAGGAACTTGGACCTGGAGCAGGCTGACCTCCCTGGTCCGTGAAGAGAAAGAGTCACTTGGAATAATTTTAAAGTGTAGAATTGTGCTTTTTATGATGAGTGACCTGACTTCACACCACTCAAATTGTGTGGGAACCTGTAGCGGGAAAATTAGCAAAAATCTCAGATATCCCTGGAATGCAAGTAAATGTGAAATTTCCCCATGGGGAGGCTCCACAAACATGTGTATACAGGACTGTCATAGATTAAAAAAATATTTCTTACCATTTGTTCCAGTTTAATTTTTAAAACACACAAAAAAGGAAAAATCCATAGACACAACTACACCGCAAATAATTGTAAATTTGAAAACCAAATGACAGAATGTTATATCTGAGACAAAACTAACTGAAAAAAAAACTAGTTTATTATTTCTGTTAAAAAGTAGGTTTTATACATAAAATATTATTATAAAAATGAAGGTTATTAGTTAATTAAAAATGAAAAAAATTCTAAGGAAAGTATAACAGTTCTGAATATTTATATACTTAATAATACATTATTAATATCCCCAAGTCCATTGACAGAATTACAAAGCAAGTAATACATTTGCAATCTTCGTTGAACTTTTTAATAGAACTTTTATGGAAACTGGCATATAAAGGATAGACATTAATACAAGAAATATTTAAGACATACAATTAAAAACTAATGTATTGGTAATTCATTCAGTGTTAGAAATTTGTGTAGTATAGACTGATGTTTTTATTCTTGACTCATAAAAAGAAAGCCTTGTGTACGTGTTAATGAAAATACATACAAGTTGTTCATTAAATCATTGTTTAAACTTACAAAAAAGAACTCTTAAAGAAATAGTAAAATATAGTGGACTAATATAGTGGAAAGCCTACAAAACATAAAATGAATAAATCAGCTCTATTTTTGCCAACATGGCTGATTCTCAAAAACATAACGAGGTAAGTAAGCTTTAAAAAACATACATTTAATTTGATTCCATTTAAAACATACAAAGCTCAATTTAGAAGAGATGTTGTTCATAGCTGCAGACATGTATAGTATACTCAAAAGCCTGTGTAGAGTAGGAACTCATCAACTTGAGCATATTGTCTCTGGAGAGAAATTTAGGACAATGGGATGCAATATGACTTGAAGCATATCGTGGTAGTATTTATGATTTTTTAAAAATCTTAACAAAGTAGGTCAAATGTTAACATTTATTAATTCTGTATACCAAGTGGATATCTGTTTTATTATTCTCCATATGTATCTGTAAGTTTGAAATATTTCAGATTTTCCAAAAGAAAAATATGAAAAGAAAAAGGGACTTCAATGCACATTTGTTACACACCTTTTCCTGCTTTGCTTAATGCATCAACTGTGAATGTAGTTTTGAAACATTCATGTACTCATTTATTGCTTTATTCGATGAGCACCACCTCTGTTGCCAGGCACTGTACTAAATGCTGGTTTATAGAGCAATAAGTGAATAATGAAGTGGGCCCCTTTCTCCATAAATCTCTTTAAGAGAGAAAGAAGATAAGTAATTTTAAAAGTCCAGGGAAATGAGATGACTGTTGTAAGGGAAGTATAGTGTGGAATGACAGTGCATAGCAGACAAATGAATCTCCCACAGGAGGAGAAATTTTAGCTGGCACTTAAAGAATGAGAGAGATTTAGAAAGAAAATGTTTGGAAGTAAGGTTTATTGGGAGGCAAAGTAAGGATAATTGTTCCAGCCATGTAGACTACCTAGCACCTTGAAGACCTAAAAGTAGTTTAGCAAGGCTGAAGCGTAATTCACTTTGAGGAGAAAAATGAGATCAGATCAGATCAGATCAGCAATTTTAGACAACTTGGAGGGTCTTATAGGAGTGATAGGAATCCACTGTGGAACTCATAAAGGAGGGAGGTATGTAACATTATTAAATTTTATTTTTTGAAATAAAATAATGTGGATAACTAACATGGAAGAAGGATCTATTTGAGAAAGGTAGATTGGCTACTGTCCAGGAAAGAGGTGTGATAGTCTGTATCCAGAAACAAAGTGAGAAAGGAGAAACTAATCACACAAATACATAACAGATCGAAAGGATAGGACTTCATAATTTATTGATGATGTGGTTATGGAGAGTGAGGTATCAGTACTGATGTCTACAAGTATGGATTAGGAATGTGGGTGGTTAGTGGTGCCTCATATCAAGATAAGGAACACTACAAAGGAACAGTTTGGTGAGAGTAATGTTCAGTAATAGATATTCTGAATTTTAGTTGCATATGAATTGTTGAGATGAAGTTATCTGATAGGAAGTCATAAAGATGAGTCTAGCACTGAGGAGATAATCCTGGAGGGCTTGTCTATTAGATTATGAGAATCTTCGCTTTGATGATAATGGTATAGATTGGTAACAGGTGAGGACATAGTCATTAATACTGACTAATACCAATACTTAAGAAGTTCAGGCAAAGTCGGCTTTCATGAAATCCCTAGTAAGAAAGCCACACTGCATGGGATTAATGAAAGTAGAAGATATAGAAGAGTAGGCTACAGTTCTGTTAGAAACTTATGATAATATGGAGAAAATCAGGGTAGTAATTGGAGTGTGCATGAAAGAAAATAAGTTTTAGTGACTTGTATAGGTTTAAATGCAGATGCAATAAAAATTCACTCATGGTTCTTTCCTTTCTCTCAAATACTTGCCAAAGAATCTCTGCAAGGACTAAGTCCTCTGTACAGAGTGTTCTTCCAACAGTTGCATCTGTGGCAGAGGCTTTGTCTAATTCAATCTTAGTTGAAACACTACCACTTCAGAGAGTCTTTTCCTAGATTTCAAACTTAGTGTCCTTTCCTCTCCCACTGAAACTATGCTCTCATTCTTCCTATCTTATTGCATCATCATATTTAATTTTAATCAAGTTTATCACTACCTTTAACCTTGTTTAGTTATTAGATTGTTTACTTTCTTCAAATTAGAAGTAAATTGGTAGTAGTAGTAAATTAAATGAATTACTTTTCAAACACCATTTAATCTTTGCCTTCCTGGAAAAAATACAAACTTATATAATTAAAATACACTTATAGATATTGCTTAATTCTGTTTGTTAATATTTTTATAATGATACAAATATAGATTATTGAGAAAGATTTCTCTCCAATTTCATCTATAAGTTCTTGTCAGGTTTTAATTGAAAGATTTATGGGGATTTTATAAAAAGTTGGAAAACACTTTTATATTCTCTGGAACAATTTGAGTAGGAATAATAATATTTATTCCTTAAATGTTTGGAAGTTATCATTGGTCAAACCATTCTGTGTTTTCTTTGTAGAATAGTCTTAAGGATGTAACCAATGCTTTTAATACACACAGGACAAATCATATTTTCCAATTCTTCTTGTGTCAGTTTTGGTGAACTAGGTATATCTAAAAAGTTGTCCTTAATACAAATTTTAAATTTTATTCTTGCAAGATTCTTCTAAATAAGAGGTTTGTTATCTTTTTGATGACTGTGTTGTAGGGCATCTTTCTGATATTGATTTGCTTTTGATACTGATTGCTCTACCTTCTCCCTAGTGTTTTTTTCTCAGTATTTCCAGATGTTTTCAAATGTATTAGATTTCTCAAATACCAAACTTGCCTAGTACTGTTTTCCTTTATCACTTATTTCTATTCTTATATTTCATTATCCCTGAGTTTAATTTGCTGAAGTTTTAAATTTCTATAGAAATTGCTTGATTTGTTCACTTTTTGCCCTCTTTTATACTATTTGCAGTTA